>NC_000006.12:10817575-10969090 GCF_000001405.40 Homo sapiens | reverse complement strand
CCTATTATTAAATGCTGTGAGAATGAACAAAATAATATTCAAAGAATCCAACTGAGTGGGAGGGTTGCTGTCCTTCAAGAGACTGCATCTAAGAAGAGAATAGTTGGTGGTTGTCTCACACATTCCATACTTATGTACTCTGTGATCCTCCATGACTCTGCCAGAAAACTCACGAAGTGGTACCACCATCAGCTGATGGACCATTCAGCAGAACACAGGGCTCTCAGAGATAACTATAAGCTCCCTCCTTCAAAAAGCTTCGAAAAGTCAGCTCCATTGGTCTCAAATCCCCTTGCTTTAGTAGCTGCTGAAAGACAGTCATCATCCCCCACACCCTCACCTGATGCTGTGCGTACATCTCCTCCTGGACCCCAGTCTACCTACTGCTCTTCCCTGCCTTCCCCACTCCCTGAGGTCTTTCTCTCCTGCCCCTACAATTCAATCTGTCAGCAGCAAACAAATATCCTCAGCCTCTTCTGGAAGAAAATATTTCCTTTCCTCTTTAAAACATGGCTGGTTTCTGAAGGTACCACCTCCCCTGACACCCTGACTCAACTAAAAGCTTTTTTTCCTCTGATATCCCATGACTTCCTGGCCAGGCAGAGGGGTAGCATTCTCCTTGCTCCCCACTGCCACATGCAGGCATGACTCTTGACTCTCACAGAAACCTCCCTGCTGATGTTTATGTCAACCATCTGCATTCTACTATCAACCTCCTGGCCCCTTTGTCCACTGGGCCCTGGTTCCTATCAGCTTAGCAGTAATTACAACACTGTCATGAAGCATCCGTTTTCAAGCTCTGGCTTCTTGGTTCTTCAACTCCTTCCCTCCTCTAGCAGTTTCTTCAGTGCCACCACAGCTATGTGCACCCCAACCTGTTATCATCACAGATGTCTTGATTCTCAACATCCCACATTCTGACCACATCTTCCTGGCCTTTCACCATCACTTCTTCTCCTTGCTTACCTGGACAATTTTATCCACTGGAAATGCCCATCCATTGAACCCATTACTTTATAACTGGTCCATCGAAGGAACTGGCTTCTATTTCTCTTTCCCTGTCAGACAAAGTGCATCACTCTAACAACTCCTGAGCAAACACCCTCAATTTCTTGGACTGAGATTGCCTCTGGATTCTGGCAAAACCACTCCCCTAGATGAAGCCTTCTCTCTACTTTCTTTACACCTGAATCTGAGCAGAATTTTGCTGGAGAAAAATCATGCAAGAAAGCTCATTACAAACCTCAAAAGGGCACTTAAGGCCCACCAGAAGTTACTAGAATCAGCACTATGCTAACTAGGAAGAAAGAACCGAAATTATTGTTAATGATTTTAAATGTTTTGCCATTAAGTTTAGTATTGCTGCAGACATTCTATCCCTAGTTTTCTAAGAGTCTTATTGTTTATTGGTTGGATTTTACTCATGAATGGGTGCTGAATTTTTATCAAATGTGTTTTCTGAATTTACTAGAATAAGTATGTGGTTATTCTATTGATCAGGTAAAAATAAATTAATAGATTCTTAAATGTTAAACCATCCTTGCATGTATGATATCCATCTACTTCTAATGGTTTTTCTTTTTTTCTCCTCAATACACACACACACACACACACACACACACACACACACACACACCCTCTACCCCATACACATAACTAATACTGGTGGAGTATATTTGCTAAATTTTTAGCATTTTTGTATTTATGTTCATTTGAGACTGATCTATAATTTTCTTCTCAGGATTGTCCTTGTCCTGTTTTGGTATCAAAGTTATAGAAACTTCCTAAAATAAACCGGGAAGCTTTCTTTTTTTCCCTTTTTCCTTGGAATCATTTGTTTATGGATTACTTATTCCTTATAAATTTGATAAAACTTATATTAAAAATATCAGGACCTGATGTATTTTTTATAAATTAAGGATGGGCTTTTTATACTACCAATTTAATTTCTTTAATTATGATTCTAGGTAATACATATTCATCTAGGAAATTGTTCATTTCATCTAAGTTTTCAAATTTATTGACATATTGCTGTTTCTAATATCTTCTTATGCTTTTTAAGACCTCTATGAATTGGTTATTTCTACATTGGTTATTTCTACATTTCAATCATATTCATCTAGAAAATTGTTCATTTCATCTAAGTTTTCACACTTATTGACATATTGCTGTTTCTAATATATTCTTATGCTTTTTAAGGCCTCTATGAATTGGTTATTTCTACATTTCATTCAAAATTTCATTGTGCCTTCCCTATCATTTTATTTTCTTGATCAGTCTGAAGTGGAAGTTTGTTTACTGCATCTAGTCTTTCTAAAGAACCAGGTTTGGTTTTACTCCTCCTCCTATGGTTTCCATTTTGTTTATTTCAGATTTGAAACTCATTATTAACTCCCTTCTAATTGCTTTGGACTTGTACCAGTACTCTTTTTTCTAATTTGTTTTTCAATCATGTTCAATCTACTTTTTCCCCTGTCCTTGTCCTTACACATTAGAATCAGCTGGTCAAGTTTCAAAAAATAACCCTGCTGGGGCTTTGGGGAATAAAAATTATTTTACTAATTTAGGCAGAATGGACGCCTTTATGTTATTCCATCTCCCATCCATTGGTCCTGATTTTAGTGATAATGCATTTAGAATTTCACGATTAAGCAGAATACTGGCTTTTGGACTGAGATTTATCATACTACAGAGTAACTAATCGCTACTATTTTATTAGGTTTTATGCAAATTCAAAAACAGATGTAGAATTTTCAAATGCTTTTGGAAATAAAGATAATCAAAATGATTTTTCTCCCTAGATCTACTGGTAATTAATGTATTAGTAGATTCCCTAATATCGAACCATCTTTGCATTCCTGGAATAAATCTCACTTGGTCATGACAATATGCTGCTAAATTCTGTTTGCCAACACTTTATTGAGAATTTTGGTGTGGTTGTTGTTGTTGTTATTGTTGTTGTTATTATTATTATTATTGAGACAGAGTATTGCTCTGTTGCCCAGGCTGGAGTGCAGTGGCATGACTTCAGCCCACTGCAACCTCTGCCTCCTGGGTTCAAGCAATTCTCCTGCCTCAGCCTCCCAAGTAGCTGGGATAACAGTTGCCCATCACCACACCTGGCTAATTTTTGTATTTTTAGTAGTGATGAGGTTTTACCGTGTTGGCCAGGCTGGTCTCAAACTCCTGATCTTAGGTGATTCACCCGCCTTGGCCTCCCAAAGTGCTGGGATTATAGGCATGAGCCACCAGGCCCAGCCTAGAGTGGTTATTTTAAGTGAGATTGTTCTGTACCTCTCTTTGCAATTTTTGTTGCATTTTGACATGGTAATGCAAGATTTATGTTAAAATTAGGAAATGTTTAATCTTCTATGTGCTAGAATGGTTTGAGCAGCACTAACATTATCCTTCTTTTAAAAAACTAGTAGAATTCCTCTGTAATGTAATCTGGATCATACACATATTTGTAGGGTACTTCTCTGACAACTTTGTCTCTCTCTTCTATGAAGATTTGTCTGCTAAGGTTTCCCATCTATTTAGAAGTCCATTTTGTTAAACTGTATTTTCCTGGAAAATTGCCCAGTTACTCCAGGTTCCTGTCAAGACTTGGATGTGCACAGACATCTGCCAGTTAAAATGTTAAATAAACTGTAGTTCCTGTTTGACCCACATATTCTTCCCACCCTGAGTCTTCCTTATCTAACTGGCAACACCATCCATCTCACTGCAAAAGACAAAAACCTAGAAGACTGACTTCATTCTTCTTCCTTTACCTACTGCTTGCAGCTATCAGCAATTTATTAACTCCAGCTCCAAAATATATCTGAAATCTATTTCTCACCACCTCCACTGCTATCCTCCTGCTTAGAACCACCAACTTGGACACCAAACGCCTTCTGGTTGGACTCTCCTCATCCAGTCTTCATTCCTCCCATCAATTCTTAACATAGCATCTAGAGTAATTTTCTTAAAATATAAATCAGATTATATTATCCTAATCTATTCCTAGATTAGGATAATCAATGGCTTCACCAAAAACCACATATATTTTCTCTAACCCTTAGTATAAAATTCAAACTCCTCAACATGGACAATGAAGTCTTACCTCGTTGAGAGTCTACCATCCTCCCAATTCACTTCAAATAACTGCTTCCCTTACTCACTGTTTCTCAAAGATGACCATACCTGACCCTGTTACTTTAAACCACAAGTCTAGTTTCTTCTTATTCTTGAAACCTCATCTTAAATGTCATTTCCTCAGAGAGACCTTGAAGTGTCTTAAGCTGACACTTCATACCACTGTTCTCTGCCAAAGCACCTTGTTGATATCTCTCAAAGCACTTGTTGTCATTGTTTTGTTTACTTGCCATTTTTCTATCTTCCTTCAAAAAATGTATCTTTTAATGGGTTGCCTCCATTAAACACGTTTGTGTATTAACCACTGAACAGGCTGAACATACCTAATCTGAAAATCTGATATCCAAATTTTTTAAATTTTTAAAATTTAAATTTTAAATTTTTAATTTAATCCAAAATTTTTAAAATGTCAATGTCAAAGAAATGTTCACTGGAGCATTGTGAATTTCAGATTTTTAGATTAAGGATGCTCAACCAGTGCATATTCTGCAAATATTCCAGAATCCAAAAACATCTGAAATCTGAAACACTTCTGGTCTCATGCATTTTGGATGAGGGATACTCAACCTGTATCTCTATGTCCATCATAGTGATTGATGCAGGGTAAGCATTCAGTTATAAACACTTACTGAAGGAATGACCCAGACCCAAAAGGATAATTTCTAAAATGGGAGAAATTGCTATAAAGGAGAAGCTCTGCCAGGCACAGTGGCTCACGCCTGTAATCCCAGCACTTTGGGAGGCCAGGACAGGCGGATCACATGGTCAGGAGATCGAGACCATCCTCGCTAACATGGTGAAACCCCATCTCTACTAAAAATACAAAAAATTAGCCGGGCGTGGTGGCGGGTGCCTGTAGTCCCAGCTACTCAGGAGGCTGAGGCAGGAGAATGGCGTGAACCTGGGAGGCGGAGCTTGCAGTGAGCCGAGATCATGCCACTGCACTCCAGCCTGGGTGACAGAGTGAGACTCCATCAAAAAAAAAAAAAAAATGGAGAAGTTCCGCTGCAGAAATGTCATATGAACAAAGCATTACAGTATCTTTTAGAGCTTGCTCCCTGCCCTGACCCCGATTCACATCCACTGAACAATGCAAATCTTTGCACCTACCTGAGGGCTGCAATCATAAAACCAGGCTTTGGCTTTCTTATGAAGTCTGAGTTGAATTGAACCTGGAAGAAATTGGTCCATCTCTTATTATATTCACATTAGACAATTTAAAAACAAGAACATACATCTAGATACATCTGCATATCAGAGTTATTTCACAGACCATTATATTACTTAATTATAGACACCAACACCCCAGGATATTAACGTAAGAGATTAACATGTTCATCTGATTCCATTTTATGCATTCTCTCTGTCAGTACCACAGACCCACAACATATGCAGAGGTATTTCATGGGCACCATCAAAGCACTGAATCCCTAGCACCTTGTAGTTCTAAGCTAGGGGCTGAAATAATCCAGTCTGAGGGATATTCTTTTCATTTCTTTAACAAAACACATACGCCATCACTGACATGAAAACATAAGATAAGGACAGACAAGGGATACCTGTTTGACCTTGAATGAGGCTTACTAACCTCTTGTAAGGCCCTTTGCACATCAAGGACTCAGCCCAGGGCCAGGCACCCATAAGCACTCAGCGTGAGCTAAGAGAATCACCATCATCCCTCACTGGCAAGCAAGAGGAAAGTTTTCTTAGGTGTTTGGAAGAGAAAAGAACAAACACAAAACCCCAGGGGAGGTATATTTAGGAGATGGTTGTTTTTAAGGTATTTAAATTCACACAGGGACCTGTTATCAAAGGGAGATGAATGCAAATAGTAATTAACATCTTAAAGTGTTTGAAGAGAGAGTTGCCTAATATTGGGGATTTAGTCAAAATAAATGAATCCCCCAGGTTTCAGAAGACTAGGGGATATAATCTCTAGTGCTTAACACAGTGTGGCTTTTTATCAGCTGTTCTCAAAGTGTGCCTGGGGAAACCCTAAGAAACCAAAGGTTCTGTGAAGTCAAAATTATTTTGGTAATAATAATAACATTAAGACATTATTTGCTTTTTAAATTCTTACTCCCTCAAAAATGTCCAGGGGAATTTCCCATAGGCTACATGACTCACAACAGATGAAACTCAGAAACAGATACGAGAATCCAGCTGGCTTCTATTAAGCCAGACAGTAAAGAGATTTGCAAAAACATGAAGCAATGCTATTCTTCCCACATGCTTCTTGTTCTGAAAAGTCATAGTTATTTTTCATATAAATCTGTTATTTATATCAACACGAAAAGGTTTATTGTTGTTATTTTAAAATAAGTGTATTTTTAAAAATCTGTCTCAATTTTTAATATGAAAAATATTCACAGATAGAACCCACATAAGCAAAAGGTCTTTGGGGATCCTCAATAAATGTTAAATATGTAAAGAGGTCTTGATTCCAAGACCTTGGAGAACCACTAACTACCAACCATGGGTATTAAGTGAAGATGGTTTAAAAGGTGTCATCACCTTTAACTATACACAGAGGGAGATGGTGTGTGAGGGATTGTGGAAATGGTTCATACAGTCATCATCATTAACTGTGGTAATTGGAGTAAAAGGCAGGATGGATAACTCAAATTTTAAAAGATTTTTTTTTTTGCTTTGGAATATATGCATAGGAATATATGCATAGGTTTTAGGAAGAATATCCTTCCTAAAACCATGTGCCTTAAATTTCTGTGAAAGCAGCTGATTCTCAATTGGAAGATAAAGCTTTAACTATTATAAATTTATATGGGGATTCCTTTTGATTATTCGAGTGGGAAAGAACACTAGAATTTTCCCGCAGGGCAGAAGTAGAGGATCCAGACTCAACTCTCCCCTTCCTTGGGCTCCAGAAGATGGGACGATATCCCAAATGGATAGAAAGAGCTTCCCCAGAGGATGTATTGATGAATTACAGTGCAGGGAGCCACAGCAGGATCAACCCATTTGTTGTTTTAAAAAATGTGTAAATGAGTAAAATAGAATATAGTCTATCAAAAGCACAATTTTGTATATAACTGAACATTTGTATAAAACTGAAAACTGTTTACTTAGAAACCTAAACATTTTTCTCAAAATCTAACCATTTTAATTTTAAAAAATACTGCTTAAAAATAAAAAAATTGGGATTTTAAAAAAACACAGAAAATTGGACATCAGGCTTTTCAAGATTTACGCCTCTCGAATGGTATCATTAGCCGCACTCTGTCCTCAGGGAGGTGCCACAGAAGTGGCCGGTTCAAAAGATGCAGCTATTTCATTAGTTATGGGAGTTTTACCGTCACCAACTGCCCATTCTCTAGCTAAAGCATTACCTCATACTTCAACCAAGATTCTTCTAGAAAGAACACCTTTCAAAGTACCTCAGCACTTGCAGATCACAGAAAGATTGCAGATCAGCAGACTGTTTCCCCCAGAATTCCTAAGATTGAACAAAAGTTTTGTTTAAGTAGCTAGCGTTATTTTTCCCTGGGAAAGATCCGAAGTCAGAAAATGTTCCACACAAAAAGAACTTACCAGAACCTCCTTCTCAAGGTGTTCCAGGGCCTGAATATCCTGCTTAAGACTGCTCAACTCTTGAAGAACCAAATTTTGAAAGCGCTCTAGTTTATTGAGTCTAATAAACATAAAAGCAGTAAATATCATTGGGATCGCTTGGATGTGACAGCAGACTTTCTTAATAAGTCATCTGATTACAAGGATACTTCAGACTCTTCTCCAGACATTTCTTGTCATGGGAACATGTAGTATCTCCCTTCTCTTCCCTCCCCTCCCTGCCTGCTCATCCCCAATCTGGAAACCTCACTATGCAAACTCTCAGGTCATCTTTTTTTTTTTTTTTTGAGATGGAGTTTCACTCTTGTTGCCCAGGCTGCAGTGCAATGGCGTGATCTCAGCTCATTGCAACCTCCACCTCCCAGGTTCAAGTGGTTCTCCTGCCTCAGCCTCCATACTAGCTGGGACTACAGGCGCGTGCCACCACGCCCAGCTCATTTTTTTCTATTTTTAGTAGAGACAGGGTTTCACCATGTTGGCCAGGCTGATCTCAAGCTCCTGACCTCAGGTGATCCGCCTGCCTCAGCATCCCAAAATGCTGGGATTACAGGCGTGAGCCACCGTGCCTGGCCTCAGGTCATCTTTCAATAGCAGCACAGAGGAAGCTGATTTTTTTTTAGTAGAGAACAAAAGGACAGATGACTCCAGGGAAGATGAGACTGAGGCTCCCCATCCCTTCCTACCTTCCACTTGCTCCCCTTTCTCTTGCATTAAGCTGGCCCTGAAACCTGTGGTCAGGAATGAGCTAATACACTCTTTTCCCACATCTACATTTTAGCTCTAACATTTCTAAGAGTCACTGTTCTTTGTCTAATGGTCATATTTGCTTATTTGTTAATTTTCTTATTTGCTTGCTTATAGTTTGTCTTCTCTATTAGGTCAAATGTTTCAATGAAAAGCACCTAAAACTCATCCTCACCTCACTCTCATACCAAGCACAGGGCCTGGTATCCGACATTGCCCAGTGTGCATTTGCTGAGTGAATACACAGATAACTGTGTGCCCCTGAAAGAGCATGGGAATTCCACCAATCCAAAGTCCTTCGTGGGCTTGCTTTGACATTCAAAGGACATTGCATGCACACCAGACTTTGAAAAATAGTAAAAATTTCTATTCAAATAATGTATTCCATCCTAAGAAAATTTCTGTCTCAGTTAAGCAAATCAACTTGCCATTCCTTTCTTCCCTTCCTTCATTTACAGGCCATTCTCTCCAACAAAGGAACAATTTCTACTCTCACCTTCCCTGTGCCATTCAAATCTTTGTTTCTAAAACCTCACTCAGGAAGCACTTCCATTGGTAATCACTCTGAATTAACTCAAATCACTACAGAAACCCATCCCTCCACTACCTTTCCTCATCCCTCTGAAATCCTGGCACCTCTGTATTTCTTGTTACATGGTCATAAGGGTGTGTGTGTGTCCAGGTGCATGTGCAAATCTGTGCACTGTGTGTGTATGGTGTTTTCTTTTCTTTCTTTCTTTTTTTTTTTTTTTGAGACAGAGTTTTGCTCTTGTTGCCCAGGCTGGAGTGCAATGGCATGATCTCAGCTCACCGCAACCTCCGCCTCCCGAGTTCAAGCGATTCTCCCGCCTCAGCCTCCCAAGTAGCTGGGATTACAGGCATGCGCCACCACGCCTGGCTAATTTTTTATTTTTAGTAGAGATGGGGTTTCTCCATGTTGGTCAGGCTGGTCTCGAACTCCCGACCTCAGGTGATCCACCCACCTCAGCCTCCCAAAGTACCGGGATTACAGGCGTGAGCCACCACGCCTGGCTGGTGTTTTCTTACTGTGGTAAAATACACATAACATAATATTTATACCCTTTTAACCATTTTTAAGTATAAAATTCAATGGCATTAAGTACATTCACAGTGTTTTGTAACCATCATCACTATCCATTTCCAGAACTCTTCCATCATCCCAAACAGAAACTCTGTACCCATTAAACCACAGCTCCTCCTTTCCCCAACCTTTGGCAACCTGTGTTGCACTCTCTGCCTCTATGAATTTGACTATTCTAGGTACACCTCATTTAAGTGGAGTCATATAACATTTGTCCCTTGTTATCTGGCTTCTTTCCTTTAGCATAATGATTTCAAGGTTCATCCATGGTATAGCATGTGTCAGAATTTAATTCTTTTTTAAGGCTGAATAACAGACCATTGTATGGATATAGCATATTTCATTTAGCCTGTATTTTTAACATATATTTCCATGCTTGCCTTCTCTTCATAACTGGATAATGATTTTTTTAAGAACAGCATTTTAGTATCATGGTAGACCATGAGGAGGCTTAAGATGGACATTTAGTTCAAACCCTTTTCATATGAATGAAGAACCGGAAACCCAGAAGGGTTAAATGATGTATCAATCCTCACATCTGCTCAGGCCCCAACTCCTCAGGGCCCTAGCACAGTGGTCATGAGATAAACGCTGTTGGTGAGTGATCACACTTCCACGACCTTGTTTTGAAACCTAAAACTTACCTGAACAGTTGCATCTGGTTTAAAAGTTTTATTAGGCAATCCGGTGCTTTCTTTGCATTTTCTGAATTAAACGGACGCTTTCTGTACCTAAGCTAAATCATAACAACAATAACAAGATGATCACATTTAATATAATTACATAAGTTGAGTGCATGCTTTGTGTTAAAAAGATGCTGCCAGCATGTAATAATATTCATAGCAAATGTGAGTGCTAAGCAAGTGTGATCAGGCATCATCCTATACACCTGTCAGGTATTACCCCAGGTTCAGGACCAATACAGAACAAGTTGAAATAGAAAAATTTACACTCATGCTACCTGATATAGTTTGCATATTTGCCCCCACCCAAATCTCATATTGAAATGTAATCCCCGATACTGGAAGTGAGGCCTGGTGGGAGGCGTTCGGGTCACGGGGGCGGATTCCTCATGGCTTGGTGCCATCCTCACAACAGCGAGTCATGACACCTGGCTGTTTGAAAGTGTGTGGCACCTCCCCGCCCCTTGCTCCTGCTCTCCCTATGTGACACGCCTGCTCCCCCTTGGCCTTCCACCATGAGTAAAACTCCCTGAGGCCTCCCCAGAAGCCAAGCAGATGCCAGTGCCATGCTTCCTGTATGGCCTGCAGAACCTTGAGCTAATTAAACCTCTTTTTTTAAAAAAAAATAAATTATCCAGTCTCGGGTATTTATTTATAGCAATTCAAGAATGGCCTAATATACTACCAATACACACAATGAATACTATGAATAAATTTCTATTACTAATTGGCTTACATTGGTATCACAGAAAATAAGACTCTGGAGATCTAAGTTAATTAAATGAATGTTGGTTAGAGTAATATACTTTTCTCAAATGTACTAATAAATAAGTCATTTGGGATTATAAGTAACAGGACAAAAAAGGAAAAGACTGAAATGGTTCCAATATTCATCTTGTAGACAAGATTTTGGGATGGGCTGTATGCACAGTGTCTCAAAGGTCTGCCACCACTCAGCCGGCCACCAACCCACAGTCCACCTCCGTCTTTGTCTCAGATTGCTCTTTTTTAAAAAAAATAGAGACATGGTCTTGCTCTGTTGCCTAGGCTGGAGCACAGCGGCATGATCATAGCTCACTGTAACCTTGAACTGCTGGACTCAAGGGATTCTCTTACCTCAGCTTCCTGAGTAGCTGGGACTACATGTGTATGTCACCATGTCTGGCTAATTTTTAAAAACATTTTTTGTAGAGACAGGGTCTCACTATGTTGCACGGGCTGATCTTGAACTCCTGGCCTCAAGCGATTCTCCCCCCTTGGCCTCCCAAAGTGCTGGGATCCACAGGCATGAATCACCATGCCCGGCCCCAGACTCCTCTCTAGCCCACTTGGTTCCATCCTTCCCCTCCTCCTTGTCTATCACTGTGACCAAATCATTGCTTTCTGGTAGTTCAGTTGTCTGAAAATGCTACCAATGAAACCAAACTATCAGTCTGATTTACACATAGGTCCACTTGGTCCCACTGGGGCAAATGGACATGGAATAGCTGTCTTATAAATACAAACCACAATTCACGAAGACTGAAATCAGTGACCACAGCTAAGACAAATACCCCTCCCCAAACACTTAGAAGCACTTTCACATATGAAGGTCAACAACAGCATTGATAAGTAATATGAACTTGTTACTTTAAATTCATAATGAACTACCTTTTCCTTCTTTCCTCTTTTTCAGCTTTGTTGAAGTATAATTGACAAATAAAAATCAGGCCAGGTACAGTGGCTCACACCTGTAATCTCAGCAGTTTGGGAGGCTGAAGCAGGAGGATCACCTTAGGCCAGAAGTGTAAGACCATACTGGGCAACATAGAAAGACCCTATCTCTACAAAAAATTTTAAAAAATTAGCCAGGTGTGGTGGCATGCACCTGTAGTCCCAGCTACATGGGAGGCTTAGGTGGGAGGATCACTTGAGCCCAAGAGTTCAAGGTTAGAGTGAACTATGATTTCACTGCTGCACTCCAGCCTTGGCAACAGAACAAGATCCTATCTCTAAAAAACTAAAAACAAAAGTGTTATGTATTCAAGGTATACACATGATTGATATACATATAAACTGTGAAATGATTACCACGGGCCAAGCTTGGTGGCTTACACCTGTAATCTCAGCACTTTGGGAGGCCGAGGCAGGTGGATCACTTGAGCCCAGGTGTTTGAGACCAGCCTAGGCAACATAGTGAGACCTCATCTCTACTTAAAAAAAGATTTTTTAATGATTACCACAATCAAGCAAATTAACATATTCATTACTTCACACAGTTACCTTCTTGGGGGGTGGTAGGAATACTTAAGATATACTCTCTTAGCGAATTTCAAGTATACAGTACATTATTACTAACTATAGTCACCATGCTGTATGTTAGGTCTCCAGAACTTATTAACTTGTAACTGAAAGTTTGTATGCCCCATCCAACATCTCCCATTTCCTCTAACCCTGACCCCTGGTAACCACCCTTCTCCTCCCTGTTTCTGAGTTCAACTTTTTTTAGATTTCAATATAAGTGAGACCATGTGGTACTGTCTGGCTTATTTCACTTAGCATAATGTCCTCCAGATTCATAACGCTCTAGTTTTTTAAGTTTTGTGGACTACTACCTCATATTTTCTTTTCCGTTTTTTAGTGAAGTTTTCAAAGGTTGGGAGAATGGCAGAACCGTTCAAGTTCTCTGGCACAACTTCTAGGGATGAAGTGGAAATTCCTTCTGGAAAACAAAAACAAAACATGGAATAAAACTAACAAAGTGTTCAAAGTAGACTTGCTCAATTCATCAGTTGCCCAGAGGATGAGTTATTTGGAAGCACAGATGCGAACCATGGAAGCCCCGCTGACTGCCTGGACATGACCTCGCTCTCTGGAAAGTGCTCATTTCTTCTATATCTTCCCAGCACTTTAAATCGGGGCAACTGACATTTTGTCTAAGAAGCAGGCCAAGGTGTTGTAATAGGTTCTAAGGAGGACATATAGCTAGGGTATTTCTCTGGTGTAACTGCTTCTGGGTGCCAGTCTTCAGAGGGCTTGCAAGGGGTCTGGTGCTGTTCTGAGGGATTTGCAAGCATCAATTAAGTCTCACAAAAATTGTGTGAAGTAGGTACTGTCAGGATTCCCATTTAACAGAGCTTGCATAAGTCTTGCATGCTCATACCAGCAGCTCCTGGATTCAAATCCAGGCTGTCTGGAATCAATGCTTTCAAATCTGTTGCATTGGAGCCCTTTGTTTCAAAATGCATGGTACCATTTGTCCAGAAGGCCAGCCTCAAACATGCAGACATTCCAGATCATTCTTCTTAATCGGTATAGATATTTCTCACACAAAAATTTGGTTGATAACTATCAACCATATCAGAGACCTATAACTTTAGGAACCCTTGGGCCCTGAAAATTCCCAGAAGGAAGAGTTACGAGGAAGAAATAAAAATGCTAGGGGATAATGGCACTTGCTTTTATCTATAATTTGTGCAACAACTTATTTGTCTCCAAAAGCACAAAAGCTTAGTTTTTAGGATTTTGTAGCTACTATGATCTTAAAACTATACCTCCCTTGTGATTCATGTTGTTACATCCTGTGCTGACCCATTTATCCCACTCCTACTTGAACCATTGGCTGGGTGCATGATGTTACCTGGCAACTCTCTTTCTTCTGTTATTGAGAAAGGGGATCCCGGAGCAACCTCTTCTTCCAATCTTGATTGTTGTGACTTAGCAAAACTACCTTCTGGTATGTCTACAGGCAAACAGAGCACATTTCCTTTTGACCCGAAATTATCTTGTTCATTTTTTGGCAGTTAATGTCTTACTGTGAAGAGTACCATCTGAAACTTGTCCCCTGCCTGTTGCTAATGAGTTATCATTCGGTGCATCGACTAGGCACAAACCAAGTATCGAAGCACGATGTCTACTGATACCTGAACATGGGAACAGGCATCCCTTTGATGAGCTCAGTTACATTTAGGAACACTCTGCTTAGCACAGACCCCTCACTAGGCAGAGCGTTCCTAAGTTAAGCAGTAATGGTAGACATCAAAAGCAACGCTTCCAGGGCTCTGAGCTAAATAGCAAGACAGCAAGGTTTCCAGGCAGATGGGCCTTTGGAAGTGCTTCAGCTCACACCCCGGAGCGCGCCATCTGCTGGTGACACGGGCACATCGGCGCTATGCTGAAGGCTACGTCATAAACGAGGCCATCTTGCCTCCTCACAGCTCAAGTGATTTTGAGAGACTCGAACATAGATTCCCATTTCAATTCAGCATAACACTAAATATTTTCTATTCTGATGTTCACTTTTATCCCAGACATGTCTGGTCCTCATCATCTTATCAATGGCACCACCATGGTTCACAGAGCCCTGGCTTTATGCTCAACTCCTCCTTTTCTTTGCTGCCCGCTTCTCCTCCATCCTCAAGGTTCTGCCTATGGAATGAATCCCTCCCTCTCTGAGTTCCTGCCCAAAGCCATCTCCCTAGAGGAAATCGTCAATCCTTCACCTTCAATTGTCACTTCCAAATCTCTCTCTTGCCTGAGCTCTCTCAAGCGGCCAACTTGTGTCTCCAAGTATTTGACATCTTTACTTCAAACCCCACTCGAGTCTATCCCTCCCACTTAAAACCACTCTCTCCCCCGCACTGTACCTTTAGTTGTGACATCATCTGACTTCTCTTTTGTCACATGCCTGTCTAGTTGCTGTTGGTTTTTCTCTCTGAAAGTTCTGGAATTCAATTTCACTAATTCATTCCATGAATATGTGGACGTTACTATGTGCGAGAGGCAGGGCGATGCGGCTGGCAGATAGTGAGAGGTAAAGACGAAGTGACCCTTCCTCCACTCTGCTCCTGATATCCTGGTCTCCTTGTAGTTCCTTGGACATCCCAGGCACGGTCTTACCTCAAGGCCTTTGCACTTGAGACTCCTCTGACCTCTGACCAGAGCACATCCCCATAGATCTGCACCAAGGATTTCTCCATCCATCTAACCTTAAATTTCAATGTAGCCTCCCAACTCTTCACACTCTCTTCCCAGCTTAATTTTCTTCTCAGCCTTTATCACATACAACATACTACATGTTTTACTTGTCCATCATCTGTCTCCCACACTAGAGGGTAAGGCCCAGTGAGGGCAGGCATTTTTTTTCTTCACTACCATATCCCTGACACCTACAGAAGTGTCTGGCACATAGTAGACACTCAATAAACATTTGTTCAACAAATGAATAGATGAATGCTGCAGAATACCCAAGCTCCTACAAATAAAACACCTGATATGCCCAATGGAGATCTCAATACAACAGATAAGAGTTTATTTCAGTTCTCTTATTCTAATTCTCCTAGTGGTGAGGGTAGAGGTAGAGAAACATCACAAGCTTTAGAGACCTAAATAGCCACTACATATTTGCTATAGTGGCCATGCTTTGGGCTATTGCTACAAATTTGCCACTAAGAAAAAAAAAAGTTCCAGAAGGGGCAGAACAGGAAGTAAGGAAAAGAAACTGCCTTTATTAATAGACAAATAGCAATTAATACATTTAACACTTTAAGACAAATAGCAGTTAATATATTTAGCACTTTAAGATCTGATAAAACTACCTTTTGGAGGAATCTATAAATATATGAATTTGGAAAAAAAGAAAATTATAAATGAGAGGTAAGAAATACCAATTGAGAAAGAAAAAGGATGATCTCAAAGCAAAAAGGATTAAACTAGTAATAATAGTAACTAGTAATAACTATTAAGGACAGACCTCATGGGACACCCTAATTAGTATTCTATAATAGTACTTTCATAAACTGAAAAATTCATTAGAGATCACATTCCCATTCTGCAGAACTTAGAAAAGAAACAGCCAGTATCTGGCCTCTCTGTAATAAAAAAAGAAAAGAAACACATTAAGAAATACTCTTATCTGTGAGAGGCATCTTATAGGAGCTAGTACCTCTTTTCTTCTCATTGCACTTAGACTTAGGTGTGTCCATTTGTTTGAAGGGTTTGGATGGATATTTTCTGGGGGGATCCCGTCATTTCAAGGGCAAAGATTTTTAAAAATAAAAAAAAAGAACCCAATTACAACTCTATCCTTTTCTTTCAGCCTCAAGGCAAACAACATTCATGCTTGCATCTTCTGTGGTGTCTATACCGCAGTCAGGGCCAAAAGAAACCACTTAAAAAGGATTCCACCTAGCCTCAATTAGGCACTGATCAACAATCACCACGTTTCTTTTCCTTACTACCTGTTCTGCCCCTTCTGGAACTTTTTTTTTTTTTCTTGGTGGCAAATTTGTAGCAATAGCCCAAAGTTTGTCCTTGAATTTCAATGTTCCACCCCCATGCATACCTGGGGCAAAGCAAGGCATCTGTCAGCACAGACACTAGTTACATCCACCAAAGAGAGAAATCCAGGAACATCGTGTAAATAACCTGGTCACCCTTTGAATGAATTATGCGGAATTTGTGAACCTACTAACAAGGGATCATCCAGTTGGATGGCTTCAGGGACATGGAAATCACTAGACTTTTAGAAACCTTCTTCGAAGTGGCAGTGCTCGTGAAGTTCTTTACCTTTACCAAAGGCATGGCTCTCCAGAGAGCACAGGCTCCTGCACAAGAACCAGCACTTCATCAGGAGAGGCTGCAGGTACTAAGTGATGTCCTTGGCTCAGTTTTGTTTCCATGGTAACTGTATGCCACTTTTCACTAGCACGTTTCAACATTTTCATAACAGAGTTAAAACTACATACACAGAACACCTCAAAAATAAACACAAACGCAGTCAAGTCATCTTAAAAGAATGTGAAATCCATGTGTATGTGTTGGTGGCTGCAGAGGGGGTGTGCTCCTGCTCTCACAAGAACCCGGCTTTCTTCATTTCCAAGAAAAGTGAAGACAGGTACAATCTGAGGAGCTTCTGAACTTATCTTGGGTAGCCGACTGGGCACAAGTTTCAGTGAACGTATGTTTGGCATCTGTGTTGTATTTTTCAACTTACAAAACTTCTGTTAAAAACAATGTTTAATGCCAGACCTATGGTTAACAGCCAAGCTCCCCTAAGTTAAGGCATTTTTTGAAACCTTGCTCTGAAGTGACACCCTGTGGTAAACAATGATAAAGGCCAACAGTCTTTCCTGAGCAAGAACAGAATCTACCAAAAGATCCTCTGTGGTTTTTACAGCGCTTTCCCAAGGCAAGTACTTTGTTTACCGATGTTTATTAAGTGCTAAGAGTATGACAATTTAAAGACTATCTTTACTGTTGAATTACTCAGTTTGATGGGAACTACTAAATATCTTTTGTATAGATTAATGCAGTTAAGAATGGATAACTCAACTGATAATAAATATTTATTTGTGACTACATATAAATGCTTAAATAGCGAATCAAGCAGAGTTTCATCATTAAATGTTGGGTTTTCTTTTTGTTTGTTTCTTTTGAGACAGGGTCTTGCTTTGTCACCCAGGCTGGAATGCAGTGGCACGATCACAGCTCACTGCAGCCTCATCCTGCCAAGCTCAACCACCCCCATGTCAGCCTCCAGAGTAGCTGGGAACACAGGGACACGCCACCATGCCTGGCTAATGTTTTTGTAATTTTTGTAGAGACAGGGTCTCACTATGTTGCCCAGGCTGGTCTTGAACTCCTAAGCTCAAGCAATCTTCCTGCCTTGGCCTCCCAAAGTTCTGGGATTACAGGCATAAGCCACCATGCCCAGTCTTAAATGTTGGGTTTTCTAAGTTTCTTACTCCATTCCCTTGACAAATACTTATGGAGTGTGTCTATATGCCGGGCACTGAGCTAGGAAGGAACTATCCTCCTGACTCCTTCCTGATTCTGGAGACCTCTCCAAGAAAGTAGATGAAGGCAAAATTCAAAATCTTAAAAAAAAAATTATCCTCTGGCTGGGCATGTGGCTCATGCCTATAATCCCAGCACTTTGGGAGGCTGAGGTGACAGATTGCTTGAGTCCAAGAGTTCAAGACCAGCCTAGCCAACATGTCAAATCCCTGTCTCTACGAAAATTACAAAAATCCGTTGGGTGTGGTGGCATGCACCTGTAGTCCTACCTACTTGGGAGGCTGAGGTGGGAGGATTGCTTAAGCCTGGGAGATCGAAGGCTGCAGTGACCCGAAATTGCACACCGTACTCCAGTCTATCTGAGGGTCCCTCTGACACAAGTCTCTTCTTCTCACCTAGCTTCTGTTAGAGAGCTGGAGGAGAGGCTCTAGTTAAAGGAGGGGCTCCTGCTGATCATACTACAAAAACAAAAGACCAATTGGACCTTAGACTGTATTTTCTAAAAGAAACATAAATCCTCTAATGAAAATGCTAAAAATATTTTTTGAAGTAATTCAGGCAAAAAGAACAAAAGGACAGTGATACCAGGAGGAAAGGTGCAAAGAGGAATTGTGAGCAAAATGATTAAATCTGAGTGTAAATCTAATAAAACACTGAGTAAAGTAATACCAACAGAGAACATTTTACGAATTAAAAAAACTAGAGAAGCAGCCAAAGGGTCAGAAGAATAAGTACGGCACGGAACGCTCATGAAATTTGGATACAGTTTTCAACCATAAGGCAAGTCAAATTGGGTCTTAATATAAGCCCCAATAAATTCTAAACAAACAATATTGTACAGACTGTGTTTCTCTGACCATGTTGCAATAAGTTAGCAAAAGGTAATGAAAGGACAGCTTTAAAATAACCCATATGTTTGGAAACTAAATGTTCAGAAATGTGATTGAAGTTAGTGCTCAAAGGTCCTTCTTCTGTTTGGGATATGGTGAAAACATTTACTTGAAGCTTTTAAAAGTGTGTGTGTTAAAATTTCTAGGGTTAACTTTAGAAATAGGGGACGAAAACTTCCAAACTAGGAAAAGGGGGAAAATGATTAAAAATGATAAATCTAAATGAAGGCAAGGACAGAAAGAATAAAAGAATGAGAATGTGGGACAAAGACGAGAAAACTCAATCCAAATATATCAATGGAAGCACAATGGATTAATTGCTCCTATTAAAAGAGATTGTCAGATCAGATTTTTTTTAATCCAGATATAAGCTCTTTATGTGATAGTCAGCAATTCACAAGGATGAAAAAAAGACTGAAAGTAAAAGAATGGCAAAAAAAAAAAAAAAAGATGTATCAGGTAAATATTAGCCAAAAGAAAACTAGTGTTGCTTTATTGATATTAACTAAGTAAGAAGAGTTACTAGAGATGAACAGTCACTTCCTGATGCACCTAGTAGCACTGCCTCAAAACATATAAAATAGAACAAAGGATATAGATAAGTACATACAGAACACTTATGAAATTTGGATACCGTTTTCAGCCATAAGGCAAGTCCAGTTAGGCCTTAATGTAAGCCCCAGTAAATCTAAAGGAAAGATATTGTACAGACTGTGTTTCTCTGACTATGTTGCAAAAAATTAGCAATAAGTAACAAAAGTATCCCATATGCTTGGAAACTACATTAAATTTTACTAAATAACTGGGTTTTAAAAAATACATAAAAAGGAAGAACTACTAACCATTGATGGTAACAAAAGCACTAATATCAAAATGTGATATAGCCAAAGCATTTCTAAGAAAACTTAAATGCATTTATCAAGAAAACAGAAAGGTTAAAAACAAATGAGTATTTAACTCAAAAGCTGGAAAAAGAGCATCAGAATAAACGTAAAGATATAAGAAGTAAAAATAGAAAAGAGCAGATAACAACAGAAGAGAAAACAATAGAAATAAAAACAGAGAAGAGTAACAAACCAAAATATCAATTCTTTAAAAGATGAGTTAGGTGGACCTCTAGTAAAACTTATCAAGAGTCAAAGATACAAATAAGCAAGTACACAATAAAAAGGAAACAACTACAATGATTAAAATTAAACATTAAGAAGCACACTAAAAAATATGATGCTAAGAGAGGCATTCCTAGAAAAACACAGAATTCCAAAACTGACCCAAGAAGAAATAGAGAACTTGGGTATATCAGTGGCTATTAAGGAAATTGAAATAATAACGTTTTCCCCCAAATTCCCCAAATTCCCAGGTGGTTTTACAAACTTTTAAAAAATAGTTAGTTTTTATCATATATAAACTTTTCCAGCAAGAGAGAGAGCTGCCCAGCTTCCATCCACAGGCTAGTGTGACACTGATTCCAATGCCAGATAATAGCAGTAGGAGAAAAGTACAGGTTTGTTCCACTCATGAGTGTAGATGTAAAGCTCATTAATAAGGTATTCACTAAATAAGTCCAACAATGTATCTTTTTTTAAATGTACCACAATCAAATGAGGTTTATCCCAGGAACACAAGTATGGCTGAACAACATAATACCTATTGATATAATTTGTCATATTAATAAGCAAAAGGACCACCACACCCTTCTACTCTCTGTTTCTATGAGTTGTACTTTTAAAAATTCCACATATAAGTAAAACTATGCAGCATTGGTCTGTGTCTGGCTTCTTTCACTTAGCATAGAAGGGTGGTTACCAGGAATCAAGGGGTTGGGAAAACCGGGAGACGTTGGTCAAAAGGCATAAACTTTCAGTTATTAAATGAAAAAGTTCTAGAGACCTGAGATATGAATGGTGACTACAGCTAATAATAATGTATATGTACTTGAAATTGGCTGAGAGAGTAGATCTTTATTATTAACACACGCATACACACACACAAAGATAACTATGTGAGGGGATATGTAAATTAGCTTGATTACGGTAATCATTTCACAATGCATATGCGTAACAAAATATCATATTAGATACCTTAAATATATACAATTTTTATTTGCCAATTATTCCTCAATAAAGCTGGAGGGAAAAAAAGAAACCAAAGGAGAAAATTCATTTGATTATTTTAGTTGATGCAGAAAAATGCATTTCATAACTTCAATACTTATGTATGATTTTTTAAAAACTCAGAGCAAATTATGAGTAGAAAGGAACTTCTTTAACCTGGTAAAAATTCAATACCAAAAATCTACTGCAAACATTTTACTTAACAGAGAAACTTTAGATGCATTTGCTATAAGATTAGAAAAAAGACAAGGATGCAGATTTTCACTGCTATTTTTAAGACATACTAAAGATATTGGCCAATGCTATGAAGAATGAAAAATAAGAGATGTAAGTATCAGAAGGGGAGAAAGAATCTATCATTTTTTGCAAGTAATAGAATCATCTACTTAGGATAACTAAGAGAATCAACAGATAAATTATTTGACCTAATAAGAGTTCAGCAAGGTTGCCAGATACAGGGTTATTTTATAAAAATTAACAGTATCGCTCTACTTTAGCAATAACAAATTTTAAAACAATAGTAACAAAATCATAAATACCTAGGAATTACCCAAAAATACATAAGCCCTTCACAGAGAAAACTTTAAAACTCAATAAAGGACGCAGACAATGACACAGATCAATAGAGAGACATTTCATACTCTTGTGTGGGATGGTTTAATATTTTAAAGATGTCACTTCTCTTCAAGTTAACTTATATATTTAATGCAATTTCTATCAAAATTCTAGTGAACTTAAGTAACTTGATCAACTTGGTCTAAATTTATATGAAAAAATAAGAAGTCCCTTGAACAACTAAAGTCAACTTTGAAAAAGAGGAAAGAAGATAAACTACTCTATTTAAACAAAGAAAAACAAGCTCAAAAATATCTTCAGGGAATAGGAACTACACAAAAGGACCTAGTAGCTCTAGAAAGAACCAAACAACTTCTAGAAATAAAAAATAAAATAAACATTCAATGATAGGTCCAGTATTAGATACTGGTGAACAGGTAGTTGTGAAAAACAGATGAAATTATCTAGCATGCAAATAAAGTGAAGGAATAGAAAATACGTAGGAGTGGGTAAAAGATGTGGAATCTAGTTGGAGTTCAAGCAGGAGAAAGAGGAATGAGCCAAAAGCAATATTTGAGGAGATAATTGCTGAGAATGTTCCAGAACTGATGAAAGACATGTCACATATTCCAGATTCCCTACAAATGCCAAGGAAGATAAACAAAAAGGTTTATCTTAGACGTATTTAGACTTACTTAGACAAATTTTAATAAGTGGAACATTACCAAGGATAAATGGAAAAAATCATATATATATTGAGGAGGGAAAAAAAAGGACAAATTACCTTTGAAGAATGACTGGTAGATTGACAGCTAAATTTTCATCAGGAAGAATAGAAAACAAAAAGCAATTGAATAATTTCTTTGATGTATGACAGAAAAAATTCTGCCAATATGGTATTCTTCACCCAGTAAAATTTAATTCAAGAATAAAGGTTGAATGGGCATTTTCATAAAGCAAAAATTCAACCTCAAGTTTTAAAATAAAATTAAAGAACACCAACACATTATGTGGTTGGGGTAGGCCAATGGAATTCAAGGATCTTAGGTCTATATAATCTGGAGGAAAAGTAACACTAAATTAAATTTAGGCTTAGAAATTTACACATTATGTAAAAGTAACACTAGATTAACACTAAATTAAATTTAGGCTTAGAAATTTACACGTTATGGAAAAGTAACACTAGATTAAATTTAGGCTTAGAAATGACACATTATGATTTCTAAGTTAATCAGTAAATGAAAAAAGAAATAGAGTATATAACTACAAATGAGTAGAGGTAAAAAATACAATAAAAATACTTATGCAAAATGAAAAGAATGAGAGAAAGAAAACAGAATGGTTGGGGCACACAGAAAGCACAAAACAAATTGGTAGATATAATCCAAATATGGGGGAAAGTACATGAAATGTAAATGGACTAAATACTCCAGTTAAAAGACATACTATGAAATGAGGGGCAAGGAAGTCCAAATACAGGCTGTTTACAAGTTATATATATAACATTATGAAACACATACACATATGTCAGTCATGAAAAGACTTTTAGAAATTATACCATGCAAATTCTAAACGAAATAAACAGACTTCAAGACAAAAACATGACTAGATACAGGGGTCATCACTTCATAATGATAAGAGTTTTAATATGCCATAAGGCAAATATACAATAAGGTAAATATTTTACTTTTATCTAAAGACTTACTCTTTTTTTTTTTTTTTTTTTTTTTTTAAGATGGAGTCTCACTCTGTTACCCAGGCTGGAGTGCCATGGCACGATCTTGGCTCACCGCAACCTCCGCCTCCTGGGTTTAAGTGATTCTCTTGCCTCAGCCTCCCAAGTAGCTGGGATTACAGGCATGCACCATCACACCTGGTTAATTTTTGTATTTTTAGTAGAGACAGTGTTTCCCCATGTTGGTCAGGCTGGTCTTGAACTCCTGACCGCAGGTGATCCACCCACCTTGGCCTCCCAAAGTGCTGGGATTACAGGTGTGAGCCACCACGCCTGGCCTAAAGACTTATTATTTAGAAAAAAGATTTATAGGGAGCAAAAATTGAACAGAACCAGAAGAAAAAACCAGCAAATCCACAATCATAGCGAAAGTTTTTAATACACTTCTCTCAGCACTTGATAGAATAAGTAGACTGATTAAAAAACAGTAAGAATGTAAGATTTGAAGGACATAGTTAAGAAAAGTAACCTAATGAATATACATATATAGAGACACTGCACCCAATGATTGTGAAATATACTCTTTTAACCACAAATTAATATTTTTAAAAATTGGCATATACTAAGCCATAACGTACATCTCAAAATTTCAAAAGGTATAATCATACAGACTATGTTCTCTAGTCACAATGCAATCAAAGTAGAAAACCATAACAAAAAGATAGCTAAAAGCTCCTATACCACTGAGAATTAACAAATATACTTCTAACCAACATTTGGATCAATGAAGAAATCAAAATAAAAAATATTTTAGGCCGGGCACGGTGGCTCATGCCTGTAATCCCAGCACTTTGGGAGGCCGAGGCAGGCAGATCACCTGAGGTCAGGAGTTCAAGACCAGCCTGGCCAACATGGCGAAACCCCGTTGCTACTAAAAATGCAAAATTAGCTGGGTATGGTGGCACATGCCTGTAATCCCAGCTACTTGGGAGGCTGAGGCAGGAGAATCGCTTGAACCTGGGAGACAGAGGTTGCAGTGAGCCAAGATCACGCCACTACACTCCAGCCTGGGTGACAGAGTGAGACTCTGTCTCAAAATAAAAAAATTAAAAAATAAAAAATAATATTTTAAAGTAAATAATGACAAATATATATTATAATGTGTGGGATTCACCTAAAGCAGTACTTAGAGAGAAATGGATAGCATTAAATGTAGTAACATAGGAAATAATATATAATATCTTTTTGGTAGGTAAGAATTTCATATGACTAACCACAGAGGAAAGATGAAAGAGAATTTATTAAAATTAAAAGCTTTGATTTATCAAAAAAAGCAATCTTAAACAGATTATACAGAGAGAGAAGTACAGACCACACAGTGGAAGAAGATATTTACAAGCCACATAATCAAGGACAAGTGTCCAGAATGTATTACGAAGAATTCCTAGGAATCAATATAAGAAGATAATTCTATAGACAACTAGGCAAGACGTGTTAGACACTACACAAGAGGAAATTCAAATGGCTAATAAACACACAAAATTATGCTAAATTTCAATCAGGGATATTTGAATTAAAACTTCAGTGTCCACACACACATATATCAGAAATTTAAAATACCAAGTGTTGGTGAGGATGTAAAGCAACAGGACTCTCATATACGGCTGGTGGAAAAGTAAAAGATACAGTCACTTTGAGAAAGTTTGGCATATGTAAAATTGTTAAAGGTATACATATTTTATAACCCAGCAATTATACTCCTAAAAATGTGCCTAGACAAGATTTTTAACCTGTGTATCAGGAGAGAGTTCATGATTCTTCATAGTGGCATTATTTCTAACAACCCAAATTGCAAAAATCCAAATATCCCACAGCACTGGAATGGATTTTTAAATATGGTATTTTCATGTAACTGCATGCTAAATAGTAAAGAAATATACCTCAATTACACACATTAGCATGAATGGATCTCACAAATGATTGAGCAAAAGAAGCCACATATAATGTATACAGTATAATGTCATTTGTTTACATTTAGAATCAGATAAAACTAAACTGTATATTATTTAGGGATACATATGGAGAAAGCAAAATTATAAAAAGAAGTAACTGAAGGATGTTTACAAAAGTCATAAGTCATTACCTCTATGAGGGATGAAAGAAATTAATAAGTAATAATCTGGTATGGAAGGATTCTAAGCCAATGGCAATTTTCTAGTTCCCAGTTTGAGCTGTGGTTACACAGATGTTCACTTTATAGTCATTCTTTAAACTGTACACATCTATCTCTTCTGAATGTATGGTATTTCTCACAACGCACGAATGAACAAAAAAGCAGAGACTCAGACATAAAATTAAGGGGAGGGGGTGGGATGGGTTTCAGGTAAAGCATACCAGGATTTTGAAAGCAATAGTAATGTTATATTCCTAAAACAGGATGGTGGTTTGCAGATATTTGTTGCATTAATATTCTAAATATCCTACACATATTTATAACTAGTTGAATCCTTTCGATACGTAATTTTAAAAGTAGAGAAAAAAATGCAGTCAAGAAACATCATAAACAGTAGAAAAGTATTATATTAACTCATTACATTATATTAGATACAACATTGTGAACCAGACTGGAAATCTTCATACCACTGTTAACATGAGTAAATGAACTCAGAAGTTTTAATAATTTGACCACACAATGTTTTAGAACATTTCTTATAAACCACAAGTGACCTACATGCTTGAGAATGAAATCAGCTCTGGATGAGACCCTTAGCAAAGTACCGCCACTGTGCCCTCCTCTGAGGCTGGAGAGAAGGTGTGACTGGCTGGTGGGATTCAGGTCCCAGGCTATACCTTCCTTGGCACAAGAGGTCCTGGTTCCTGAATGGAGCCCCCCATTTTTCCTCCTAACCTTCATGAACATTTAGAACTAGTAAGCAGCTCACACTGCTCCCTCCACGGCCTGGCAATAGTCACTGTGCAAAGTGACTTGATCTGCAATCTGAGTAACAGCCCAGTCTGCCAAAATCAGATTAATTTCATTTTATTCTGCAAAAAAAAAAAAAAAAGTACTATTCTCTTACCTTTGTCTTCCAAGTTTCTCAGCTTATGTTTCAAGCTAGTACTTTCTGTTAGTGATTCTTGGTTCACAATCTTAAAAACAAAACAGACCACAAATTACGTCCTTTATGGCAAAGCAAGAAACAAGTGGTGTACTCGTCAGAAGGAATAGCCAATGTGTTATGCAAATATGATATTAATTCTGGAAAATCAGATGAATAACCAACAATTAAATAGTACCTTAGGTTTTTCTTCATCTTCTGAGTGCTTCAAGGAAGAGAGCTCACTCAGTGAGTGAGGATCTTGAAGCTCTGAGCATTAGAGAGAAGTTTCAAGTGAATACACGCCAAGTAACAAAGCAATAAGAATTCACTATCATTCTAGATATTAAATCTCATCATCAAAAAAAAGGAACACAGTTCTAAGTGAAACAAAAATCTACTGACTGTGTCTTTCGGGACACGAATTCTTTTTTATTATACTTTTAAGTTTTAGGGTACATGTGCACAACGTGCAGGTTACGTATGTATACATGTGCCATGTTGGTGTGCTGCACCCATTAACTCGTCATTTAACATTAGATATATCTCTTAATGCTATCCCTCCCCCCTCCCCCCACCCCACAACAGGCCCCAGTGTGTGATGTTCCCTTTCCTGTGTCCATGTGTTCTCATTGTTCAATTCCCACCTATGAGTGAGAACATGTGGTGTTTTTCATCCTTGCGAGTTTGCTGAGAATGATGGTTTCCAGCTTCATCCATGTCCCTACAAAGGACATGAAATCATCATTTTTTATGGCTGCATAGTATTCCATGGTGTATATGTGCCACATTTTCTTAATCCAGTCTATCGTTGTTGGACATTTGGGTTGGTTCCAAGTCTTTGCTATTGTGAATAGTGCCACAATAAATATACCTGTGCATGTGTCTTTATAGCAGCATGTTTTATAATCCTTTGGGTATATACCCAGTAATGGGATGGCTGGGTCAAATGGTATTTCTAGTTCTAGATCCCTGAGGAATCACCACACTGACTTCCACAATGGTTGAACTAGTTTACACTCCCACCAACAGTGTAAAAGAAAAGTGTGCCTATTTCTCCACATCCTCTCCAGCATCTGTTGTTTCCTGACTTTTTAATGATCGCCATTCTAACTGGTGTGAGATGGTATCTCATTGCGGTTTTGATTTGCATTTCTCTGATGGCCAGTGATGGTGAGCATTTTTTCATGTGTCTGTTGGCTGCATAAATGTCTTCTTTTGAGAAGTGTCTGTTCATATCCTTTGCCCACTTTTGGATGGGGTTGTTTTTTTCTTGTAAATTTGTTTGAGTTCTTTGTAGATTCTGGATATTAGCCCTTTGTCAGATGAGTAGATGGCAAAAATTTTCTCCCATTCTGTAGGTTGCCTGTTCACTCTGATGGTGGTTTCTTTTGCTGTGCAGAAGCTCTTTAGTTTAATTAGATCCCATTTGTCAATTTTGGCTTTTGTTGCCATTGCTTTTGGTGTTTTAGACACGAAGTCCTTGCCCATGCCTGTGTCCTGAATGGTATTGCTGAGGTTTTCTTCTAGGGTTTTTATGGTTTTAAGTCTAACATTTAAGTCTTTAATCCATCTTGAATTAATGTTTGTTTAAGGTGTAAGGAAGGGATCCAGTTTCAGCTTTCTACATACGGCTAGACGATTTTCCCAGCACCACTTATTAAATAGGGAATCCTTTCCCCATTTCTTGTTTTTGTCAGGTTTGTCAAAGATGAATTCTTATTAGGTTTGTACATCTGTAGTTAAGATTAACAGCCAGTTACTTCAACTAGATCGGCACCTTAAGGAGCTGCCCATCTGGCCTCAAATAACACGGGCAGGGATTCTTCCACCTCAATCTTGTGATTCTTCTCTCCCTTAGAAACCCCTCCCTTATTGCCTCTTACTCTTTTTTGATGATTTGATATACATATATACGGTGTAATGATTATCACTTTCAAATCGATGAACACATCCATCACTACCTGTGCTGTATATTACATCCCCAGAACTTGTTCATGTTATGCCTGAAAGTTTATATCCTTCGAGGACCATCTCCTCTTTCCCCCCACCTCCTAGCACCTGGCAACCACTGTTCCATTCTCTGTTTCTATGAGTTTGACTTTTTTACATTCCGTATATATGTGAGATTATATAGTATTTGTCCTTTAGTGACTAGCTTATTTCACTTACTATAATGTCCTCCAGGTTTATCCATGTTGTTGCATATGGCCTGATTTCCTTCTTTTTTGAGGCTGAATAGTATTCCATTATTAATATATACCACATTTTCTATATTCATTCATCCACTGACCAGTGCTTAGGCTGATTCCATATCCTGGCTATTGTGAATAATGCTGCAATAAACATGGGAGTGCAGATCTCTCTTCAAGATGCTGATTTTATCTGCTTTGGATATATACATGGAAGTGGGATTGATGGATTCTATACAATTCTAATTTTTTTGAGAAAACACCATACTGTTTTCCACAATAGTTGCATCAGTTTACATTCTCACCAACAGCGTACAATTGTTCCCTTCTCTCCATACCCTTGCCAACACTTGTTATCTCCTGTCTTTTCGATAATAGCTATCTGGACAGGTGTGAGATATCACATTATGGTTTTGATTTGCATTTCTCTAATGATCAGTGATGTTGAGTACATATACCCATTAGCCATTTGTGCTTCTTTTTTGGAAAAATGTCTATTCAGCTTCTTTACCCATTTTTAATTAGGTTATGTGTTGTCTTGCTTTTGAGTTGTGGAAGTTATTTTGAATATTAACCCCTAACCTATTATCAGATATATGATTTGCAATATTTTCTCCCATTCTTTAGGTTGTCTTTCCATTTGATTGATTGCTTTCTTTGCTGTGCACAAGATTTTTAGTATGACATAGTCCCAAAAGTTTATTGTGCTATTAGGGTTGTATGCAAGAAATCATTGCTAAGACCAATGTCAAAGAGCTGTTTCCCTATTTTTGTCTTGTACAGTTTTAGATCTTAAAGTCTTAACCTATTTTGAGTTGATTTTTGTATATGGTATAAAACAAAGGCCCAATTTCATTGTTTAGTATGTGGATAACCAGTTTTCCCAAAACATTTATTGAAGACGCTTTCCTTTCCTCATTGTGTATTCTTGGTGCCCTTTTCAAAGATTAAGTGGCCATATATATGTGTAGGTTTATGTCTGGGCCCATAATGTTATCTTGGCCTATGTGCCTGTCTCTATGGCAGTACTATACTGTTTTGATTACTATAGTTTTTGAATACACTTTGAAATCAGAAAGTGTGATGCCTCCAGCTTTATTCCTCTTTCTCAAGATTGCTTTGGCTATTTAGGATCTTTTGTGGTTCCATATAAATTTTAGGATAGTTTTTTCTATTTCTGTGAAAAATGCCAGTAGAAATTTGATAGCAGTTGAATTGAATCTGTATATTGCTTTGGATAATAAGGACATTTTAACAATTCTTCCAATCCATGTACATAGGATATTCTTCCATTTATTTGTGTCTTCAATTAATTTCATCAATGTCTTATAGTTTTCAGATTATGACCTTTCACCTCCTTGGTTATTTTTATGTGTTTTTTGTAAGCTATTATCAATGAAATTTTCTTTTTTTTTTTGAGATGGAGTCTCGTTGTGTCACCCAGGCTGAAATGCAGTGGCGTGATCTCAGCTCACTGCAACCTGCACCTCCTGGATTCAAGCAATTCTCCCGCGTCAGCCTCCTGAGTAGCTGGGACTACAGGAGTGTGCCACCATGCCTAGCTAATATGTTGTATTTTTAGTAGAGATGGGGTTTCACTGTGTTAGCTGGGATGGTCTCGATCTCCTGACCTCGTAATCCTCCGGCCTTGGCGTCCCAAAGTGCTGGGATTACAGGCATGAGCCACCATGCTTGGCTGAGATTTTCTTGATTTCTTTCTTAGACAGTTTACTGTTAGTGTCTAGAAATGCAACTGATTTTTGTTTTGTTTTGTTGAAACCCAGAAGCAAACCCCACAACTGATTTTTGTATGTTGATTTTGTATCCTGCAACTTTACTGAATTCATTTATTAGTTCTAACAGTTTTTTGGTGAAGCCTTTACAGTTTGATATATGTAAAATCATGTCATCTTTAAACAAAAACAATTTAACATCTTCCTATTTGGATGTCTTTTATTTCTTTTTCTTGCCTGGATAGAACTGGGTAGGACTTCCAGTACTATGTTAAACAGAAGTGGCAAGAGTAGACACCTTTGTCGTATTCCTGATCTTAGAGGAAAAGCTTTCAGCTTTTCACCATTGAGTGGAATGCTAGCTCTGGGCTTGTCATATATGGCCTTTTTAATATTGAGGTGCATTCTATATGTACTTAATTTGTTGAAAGTCATTATGAAAGGATGTTAAATTTTGTCAAATGCTTTTTTTGCATCTATTGAAATGATTCTATGAATTTAACCTTCATTCTCTTAATGTGGTTTATCACATTTATTGATTTGCATATATGGAAACTTCCTTGAATCTCAGGGATAAATCCTACTTTAACATGGTGTATAGTCCTTTTAATGTGCTATTTAGTAAGTTTTGCTAGTATTTTTGAGGGTTTTTACATATACGTTCATCAGAGACATTGGCCTGTAATTTTCTTTTCTTGTAGCATTCTTATCTGGCTTTGACAAGAGGGTAATGCTGGCCTCATAAAATGGGTTTGGAAGTGTTCTGTCCACCTCAGTTTTTTGGAAGAGTTTGAAAAGGATTGGCATTAATTTTTCTTTAAATACTTGGTAGAGTTCACCAGTGAAACCGTCTGGCCCTGGGCTACTCTCCGTTGGGAGGTTTGATTACTGATTTGATCTCCTTACTCATTATGGGTCTGTTCAGCTTTTCTATTTCTTTATATTCAGTCTTGGTAGGTCGCATGTTTCTAGAAACTCACCCATTTCTTCTAGGTTATCCAATTTGTTGGTGTATAATTTGTTTGTTGTAATGGCTTATGATCCTTTGTAGTTCTGTGGTATCAGTTGTAGTGTCTCCTTTTTCATTAACAGTTTTTTTTGAGTCCTCTCTTTCTCTTGGTTAGTCTAGCTAAAGGTCTGTCAATTTCATTCTTTCCAAACACAAACTCTTAGTTTCATTGAACATTTCTATTGTCTTTCTAGTGCCTACTTCATTTATTTATGCCTTAATATTTGTTATTTTCTTCGTTAAGCTGACTTTGGGTTTAGTTTCTTCTTTTTTCAGTTTCTTGAGGGGTGAAGTTACTTGGGATTTTCCTTTTTTCTTAAGGTAGGTATTTATTGCTAATAAACTCCCCTTTTAACACTGCTCTTGCTGCATCCTGTAAATTTTGGTATGTTTCCATTTTCATTTATCTCAAGATTTTTTAATTTCCCTTTTAATTTATTTGATCCATTGGTTATTCGGGAGTGTGTTGTTTAATTTCCATGTATTTGTGAATTTTCCAATCTTCCTCCTGCTATTATTTCTAGTTTCATACTGCTGTGATCAGAAAAGACATCTGAGATTATCTCAATCTTTTCAAATTTGTTAAGATGTATTTTGTAGCCCAACATATGATCAATTCTGGAGAATGTCCCATGCGCACTGTACACTGGAGAAGAATAAGTGTTCCACTGCTGTTAGATGGAATGTTCTGTATATGTTAGTTAGATTCATCTGGTCTACAGTATTATTCAAGCCACTGTTTCCTTATTGATTTTCTATCTGGATAATCTATCGACTATTGAAGGTGGGGTAATTAAAGAACTCTTTTATTGTATTGCTATTTCTCTCTTCAGGTCTATTAATATTTGCTTTATACATTTAGGTGCTGTAATGTTGGGTGCATATATATATTTACAATTGCTATTTCCTGTTGATGAATTAACCCTTTTATCATCATCTAGTCTTTGTCTCTTGTGACAAATTTTGACAGAAAGTCTATTTTGCCTGATGTAGGTATAACCACATCCCTGCTCTCTTTTGATTGCCATTTGCATGGAATATCTTTTTCCGACCCTTCACTTTCAGTTTATATCTGTCCTTAAGGTACAGTGAGTCCCCTGTAAGCAGCAGATTGCTGAATCTCACTTTTTTCTATCCATTCAACCACTCTGTGTCTTTTGATTGGAGAATTTAATCCATTTAAAGTAATTATTGATAGGTAAAAACTTAGTATTGCCATTTTGTTGATTGTTACTCTTTTGTAGTAACTTTGTTCCTTTCTTCCCTATCTTGCTCTCTTCCTTCCTTTTAATCTATTTTTTTTTCTTTGTGAGATAGAGTCTCACTCTGTCGCCCAGGCTGGAGTGCAGTGGCTCACTGCAACCTCTGCCTCCCGGTTCAAGCAATTCTCCTGTCTCAGCCTCCCGAGTAGCTGGGACTACAGGTGCCTGCCACCATGCCTGGCTAGTTTTTGTATTTTTAGTAGAGACGAGGTTTCACTATATTGGTCAGGCTGGTCTCGAACTCCTGACCTCAGGTGATCTGCCCGCCTCAGCCTCCCAAAGTGCTGGGATTACAGGAGGGAGCCACTGCGCCTGACCCCTTTTATTCTTTAATGTTACATTTTCCTCTCTACTTTTTGATTTTCCCTACTTATTTTCTTCCAGTGGCAGCTACACTAACAGATTGTTATTGAAGTACTTACTAAATATCATTGTATGCCTGGCAATGTGAACTGCAGAATAATGAACAATATTAATATTGTTATTAATAATAATAAAATCATATTATTAACAAACTTAAAAACACAGTCAAAATAAAATACAGTGAGGGTTAAGAAAAAGCCTATAGGTTAAGGGTTGGCAAACTCTGGCCCCCAAGTCAGATCCAGTCTGCTACCTGATTTTATAAATAAAGTTTTATGGAAAGACAGCCACCCCATTGGCTTACATCTTATCCATGGCCAATTTTGTGCAACAACTGCAGAGTTGAATAGTCACAACAGAAACCATATGGATCAAGTCTGGCCATGGTGGCTCACGCCTGTAGTCCCAGCACTTTGGGAAGGCAAGGTGGGCAGATCACTTGAGGTCAGGAGTTCCAGACTGGACTGGCCAACATGGTGAAACTCCGTCTCAACTAAAAATACAAAAATTAGCCGGGCATGGGAGGCTGAGGCAGGAGAATCGCTTGAACCTGGGAGGCGGAGGTTGCAGTGAGCCAGGAGCACACCATTGCACTCCAGCCTGGGTGACAGAGCAAGACTCCGTGTCAAAAAAAAAGAAAAGAAAAAGAAACCATATGGATCAAAAAGCAAAAAATATTTACTATTGGAACCTTACAAAAAATGTTTACCAACCCCTGCTACAGGTCATCATTTGAGATGTCTTGCTTCTTTAAAAAAAGAAGAGACCAGCAATTCTTGGGTACAAGATGATCTCAAATGGCACAGCAAAATTAAAACATCATATCCTCTGTTAATTTGCTAATAAGAGACATTAAGGTAAAGAACAATGTTATCTTCATATTTTCTTTAATAGATATTAAAATAAAAATGTTTTGTTTACTTCAAACTACCTTTCCCAAATACAAATTTTTTCCTATGTAAGTCAACAGAAAATCATGTACCTGTTTTCTGGGCAGAATCTTCAGCAGTCAAAAAAGCAAAACTATCTTGGAATTTTTGTTCAGAAGTCTTTGGAGATGTGGTGTTATTTTGCTCGGGTATTTCTTTCTCTGATGGTGATAGAAGCTTAGCCTAAAATATAGTATCTTTTTTAAGTGTTAACATTCATAATTAAAAACAAGTTATCAAAATATTGTAAGACATTTTCAATATTACTTTAAGAAGCTTAAGTATTAGATTTACTCCATTTGAAAATAAATGCTAATTCTACTAAGAATTTCTGTGTGTTTTTAGTTGAGGGGTGGATATTAGCTTAATGCCATGGTACTGAATCTGAATTAGGTCATTTACTCTTTCTCGAGATACAGAAATGAAAATCTCATGAATCCTTGGAAATCAGAAATTCTGTTAGGTAAAAAGAGAAAGGCTGGCACCTGATCCCAGACTCTGGTTTTCACAGTTGGAAAGAATCTTACAGATTCTTGAATTTCCAATTTCCAGTTATCTTTTTTAAGATGGAATCACTCTGTCACCCAGGCTAGAGTGCAGTAGTGTGATCTCAACTCACTGCAACCTCCACCTACTGAGTTCAAGCAATTCTCGTGCCTCAGCCTCATGAGTAGCTGGAATCATAGGCACGCGCCACCACACCCAGCTAATTTTTTTGTATTTTATTAGAGATGGGGTTTCGCCATGTTGGCCAGGCTGGCCTCAAACTCCTGACCTCAGGTGATCTGCCCGCCTTGGCCTCCCAAAGCGCTGGGATTACAGGCATGTGCCACCGCACCCAGCCAATTTCCAGTTGTCTTCTAATGGCTCTGCATTCAAGTACTGCTCCCCTCAAATGGACAATAGATTCAAACCTTGACTCTTTGAATTATTTTTAAAGTATATATTGAGACAGAAATGTTTTCCTTAGGAACTACAACATCACTATTTTCATTAATTTAAAATTACCTTAAAGACATTTGCAAATAATAGTACTTTCATTAAATACATTAATAAAAACCAAAGGGGAGGGAGAATAAAGCAAGCTTATTTCAGAGATTTAGTTAAGAGAGAGACAGAGTGCACGAGACAGAGACAGAGGGAATGTGCCTGTCTAAAGTCCTAGGGTCAAAGCAAAGCGACTACTCATTTAAACATTCCTGCTCTACCTGCCTCTATTCTATTACAGCATGAGAACTGATCTGCCTAATGATCCTAGTGAAAATCCTAAATGATCAATGATTCAATTATATTTCCTTTACTCAGCTTACTAAGCTAAGAAAATAAAATATCTAACAATTAGAATTAGTGTAAGGGGATACTAGATTTAAATTTTAATTGGCAGGAAAATTACATTAACTAAATCCTTCCTTCTTGAGGATTAATTGAGTTAATTGAGATTTTACTGCAGTAAATAAAATTCTGACTGCATTTTTACTGAATAGGAAATTTCTCCTTGTGCTTTCATTCAAAGTTTGGTATAAATGCTATTGAGCTTCTCTTTTTAATTTTTCAAAGACACATCTAATAAACGTAGCCACAAAAAAATAAATACTAAGATCGTAAGACCCCTGAATTGGAAGAACGTGAAGTCATATTTCAGTAGATAACTCGAAGTGTGGTCTCGAAGTGTGGTCTAGACTGGCACATGAGCAGTATCTGGGAACTTGATGGAAATGCAAATTCTCAAGTCCCATCTATTCAATTCAAAACTCTAGGGACAGGACCCAGCAATCTATGTTTCAGCAAGCCATCCTGGTCATTGTGATGGCCACTAGTGTTTGAGAACCACTGCTCTGTATCAGGGGTTGGCAAACTAATCTGTTGCTGTTCTTGAAAGCAAAGTTTTATTAGAACACAGCATACCCATGTGTTTCCATTCCGTCTCTGGCTGTTTTCTGGCTACAAAGGCAGAGGTGAGTAGTTGCCAAAGAGATTGCATGGCTCAGAAAGCCAAAAGTATTTACTATCTGGCCCTTTACAGAAAAAATGTGCTGACCTGACCTCTGCTGTAAATTATTCTCTTATACAGAGAGAAGTATATTTTTGAATACCAGTATTTGTAGAAAGTCAGCAATGCCCTCACTGAAAATCAACATAGATTTCTTGCCAGAGGCACAGCTTAAATTTATCGATTTTTTAAGCTGTGGCAAGGCACGGTGGCTCACGCCTGTAATCCCAGCACTTTGGGAGGCCAAGGCAGGTGGATCACTTGAGATCAGGAGTTCGAAACCAGCCTGGCCAACATGGCAAAACTCTGTCTCTACTGAAAATACAAACATTAGCTGGGCGTGGTGGCAGACGCCTGTAATCCCAGCTACTCAGGAGGCTGAGGCAGGAGAATCACTTGAACCTGAGAGGTGGTGGTTGCAGTGAGCTGAGATCGCACTACTGCACTTCAGCCTAGGTGACAGAGCAAGACTCCGTCTCAAAAAAAAAATTTTTTTTGAAGCTGTGGTATTTCTTTGGTGTTTATTCCAAATAAAAGCTGTATTACTAGAAACTGTTCTTTGGGTCCATTTCTAACTGATAACTCATTATTTCAGGTTGAACTATTCAATGAATAAATACTTACTCTGGCTCATAGGTTTAACCCACCCCTCTCCTTACAGAGCATGAGAGCCCTTCAGGTGGACAGAGGGCAACACACTCCAGGCTGATGGAAGACAGACGATGAAGATGTGATTAAAACCCTAACCAAACTATTTCTGCATGAGCAAGCGGGGCACTGTCGATACTCTCAGAATCACAGCAGCCACTCCTTATAAACCGCTCCGAACTTGCTGATATGCTCTGTACTGTATACATAGCTCACGTGACACAAAACACAAACCAACTGCTGAGAGAGGTAATTCAGTGAATAAACGGCAAAAGTTGGCTTTGAATTGGTGCAGACACTGCTGTCTCTATTCTTAACTACTCTGATATAAAACAAGGATAAGTGAAGGGAAATGAAGAAACTTTGAGGGTTTATTCAATATTTATATAAGCCCGAAGGTATCCTAAGCACTTGCAAAATAAATGTCTAAATAATTAAACCATTAAAAGCTTTAGAAAAAACTAAGGGAAGAACTAAACCAACAAGTTTACATCAAAACATAAATTCAAAAGAGTAAATTTGCAGGAAATTGGAATAGCCCAGAATTTTAGCATCATTCATAATAAACATCCTCCAGCAACATTTGGGAACAGTTAAAAAAAAAAAAAAAAAGACCCTCAATCTTTTTTTTTTTTTTTGAGACACGGTCTCATTCTGTCACCCAGGCTGCAGCGCAGTGGCACAATCTCGGCTCACTGCAAACCCCACCTCCTAGGCTAAAGCCATCCTCCCACCTCAGCCTCCTGCGTAGCTGGGACTATAAGCATGTGCTACCACGCCTGGCTAATTTTTGTATTTTTTGTAGAGACGGAGTTTCACCATGTTGCCCAGGCTGGTCTCGAACTCCCAAACTCAAGTGATCCACCCGCCTTGGCATCCCAAAGTGCTGGGATTACAGGCGTGAGCCACCACACCCAGCCTAAAACACCTTAAACACTTACTTACCCAAGAGTCATATTAAACATTTAGAAGACCTTGAAATTTCTATTGGCGGTGATTCACATATCAGTAAACCAATATTTTGTTATTTTTATATTTCTGAAAGTTGTTTTTGGAGAAATAAATGCAGTTTAACTCACAGGGCACACAGCAACCCAGATACAATGTACTTACTTGGTCTTTCTCATGGCCACTGCCACTACTGGGAGGGAAAACTGGCAAGACTAAATTGAAAGAAAACAAGTGCACAACATATACATTAACTCATGAGGCATAAAAATTCTCTACTCCGTCTCCCAATATGCTAACACTAAAAGCAATTCCCACTTCCTACAGCTTCCAGAAATGTCTACTCTTAAGATCCTTTCCTGATTATTCAACCTTGTTCCTCACCACTCAGTTCCTCACCACTCAGCATGAATTCTCTGCTCTAGACTTTGTCCCTGAATGTCACCCTCACATGCTTGTTGTGTCCTTGTAGTTTGTTTCGTTTGAGACAGGGTCTCACTCTGTCGCCTGAGCTGCAGTGCAGTGGCACGATCACTGCTCGCTGCAGCCTTGACCTCCTGGGCTCAAGCAATCCTCCTGCCTCAGCCTCCCCAGTAGCTGGGACCACAGGCGCACACCACCATGCCCAGCTAATGTTTTAATTTTCTAGAGGTGTGGTCTCACCACATTGCCTAGGCTGGTCTCAAACTCCTGGGCTCAAACAACCCTCCCACCTCGGCCTCCCAAAGTGCCAGGATTAGAGGCGTGAGCCACCATGCATGCCCTTGTAGTTTTACCTACCTAAGAATGCTTCCCTTTCTCCTCTTCACATTCTATTCTTTTTTCCAAAGGTTAATTCAAGTCCCACCCACCTCTTCCTTAAAGATTTTCCTGATGATTCCAGCTCATGACAGATTCCTCTTATCTGAATTTCTACTCCATTTATACAAAACTCATCTGTAACAACTGTTGGTTAATTTCATGTTCTTCTGTTTCATGTACACAGTACATTTTGCCTTTCCAGTGTAACTGTAGCAGGGAAAGCTGGCCCCATAATCATATATTTCTTTGGACCCACTCCCATTATATACTGAAAAATAAATATCTGATTTGAAAATCACTATTTGAAAAGTGATTCAAAAGAAGACATGCCAGACTTACTTCTCAAATTACTTCTGGTTCTTGTCTTCTTTCTACTGGAATATGATTTTAGGGATTTCTTTTTCTGGTTACTGGTCCAAGATAGTTCACTGGTACTTGAATCTTGATTACTCTCAGAGAAGAGATGTTTTCTGTAATGAGACTTCTACAAGCACAGATCATAAATGAGAATTTTTAGAGGGGTGTTAGTGCCTCTTATGTATAACTAAACATATTCTACAAAGCTAGAGATAAGAGAAGTACCCTTCTAGAAGACTGGGCTCTCTTATATAATATAAAAGCAAAGAAGTATGGAGTGGAAGAAAAGGATTATTCCATCAGTCAATTCTCAACCAAGTTGCTGTTGTATAGGATGACAAAATCCTTTCTAATAAAACGTTTGCAACAGAAGAGATGGTGGATGACTGTTCAAAAGCAGACCAATCTCAATATTGTGCCTAATACTACTTGAAAATACTAAGTCAGATGGCAAAAGAAAAGTATGGGAATATTTTTTGCAAAGACAAGCCTCTCTACATTTTAGAAGAACCAAAACCAAAGAGGAGAGTTATTTCTTTTTCTTTTTTCTTTTTTTTGAGATGGAGTCTCACCCTATCGCCCAGGCTGGAGTGCAGTGGCGCCATCTTGGCTCACTGTATCCTCTGCCTCCTGTGTTCAAGCAATTATCCTGCCTCAGCCTCCAGAGTAGCTGGGATTACAGGCGCATGCCACCACCCAGCTAATTTTTTTTTTTTGTACTTTTACTAGAGACGGAGTTTCACTATGTTGGCCAGGCTGGTCTCAAACTCCTGACCTCAGATGATCCACCCACCTTGGCCTCCCAAAGTGCTGGGATTACGGGTGTGAGCCACCGCACCCAGCCCAGGAGGGTAATTTCTGTTTAAAACATAAAGCATTTTGAAATTAAGCCTGGATTATAAAAGATTAGAGATTTAGGGCAAGTTTAATCTTTCTGATGGATTATTCAACTGTACTTTGATATTTATATTTTTAAAATTTTTCTGTTCTTACATTAATTTTCATAAATGCTGTGATGAATACATGTTTGTGCTTGATTTTAATATGGAGCTTGTTTTTTTGAGTTCTGTTTGTTGGGTATCTTCAGGGCCCAGTCCTCAAGCCCTCCTGCCTCTTAAGGGGCTGTAGCATTCAGCTGCTAATAGTTCATTCTCATTTCAGGCCAGGGAGGAGCTAAGTCTCACTCCCAAACATTAGGCTCCTTCAGTCTCTAGATCCCAAATGAAGAAATGAGGCAGAGGCCAAACAAGTCATGTATTCCAAGGAAAAGCCGAGTTGAATGAAAAGAGAATACACAGCCGGGTGCGGCCAGGTGTGGTTGCTCATGCCTGTAATCCCAGCACTTTGGGAGGCGGAGGCTGGTGATCACCTGAGGTCAGGAGTTTGAGACCAGTCTGGCCAACATGGCAAATCCCAGTCTCTACTAAAGATACAAAAATTAGGTAGGCATGGTGGCATGCCCCTATAATCCTAGCTACTCAGGAGGCTGAAGCAGGAGAATTGCTTGAACCCAGAAGGCGGAGGTGGCAGTGAGCCAAGATTGTGCCATTAGCGAAACTCAGTCTTAAAAAAAAAAAAAAAGTAAAGAAAAGAGTATACACAAACATGGAGGCAAAAACAATCTCAAGGAGGGGATGGTCAAAAAATTGACAGATGGCTGATGGGGCATGGTGGCTCATGCCTGTAATCCCAGAGATTTGGGAAGCCAAAATGGGAGAATCTCTTAAGTCCAGGAGTTTGAGACCAGCCTGGGGAATGGAGCGAGACTCCATCTCTATAAAAAATTTTAAAATAAGCCAGGCGTGGTGGCACCACCTGTAGTTCTTGCTACTCAAGAAGCTGAAGCGGGAGGATCACATGAGCCTGGGAGGCTGAGGCCACGGTGAGCTATGATGACAGAACAAGGCCTTGTCTTAAAAAAATTTTTTTAAATTGACAGATGGTTGGCCAGGAGAAAATGGTCCATGAACCAGGAAAGGTGGCTTCCACCTGTCACAGTCCCACTGGAGACAGATAAGAAACTTGAGCCCCACTCCCTGTACTCACAGGTTGTTGCGGGAAGTCAGGGACCCCGAACGGAGGGACCGGCTGAAGCTATGGCAGAAGAACGTGGATTGTGAAGATTTCATAGACATTTATTAGTTCCCCAAATTAATACTTTTATAATTTCTTATGCCTGTCTTTACTCAATCTCTGAACATAAATTGTGAAGATTTCATGGACACTTATCACTTCCCCTTGTGATTTCCTATGCCTTGTGATACCCTTGTATCACAAGGGTATCACAATACCCTTGTGATTTCCTATGCCTGTCTTTAATCTCTTAATCCTGTCAGCTGAGGAGGATGTATGTCACCTCAGGACCCTGTGATGATTGCGTTAACTGCACAAATTGTAGAGCATGTGTGTTTGAACAATATGAAATCTGGGCACCTTGAAAAAAGAACAGGATAACAGCAATGTTCAGGGAATAAGAGAGATAACCTTAAACTCTGACCGCCGGTGAGCCGGGTGGAACAGAGCCATATTTCTCTTCCTTCAAAAGCAAATGGGAGAAATATCGCTGAATTCTTTTTCTCAGCAAGGAACATACCTGAGAAAGAGAATGCGCCCCTGAGGGTGGGCCTCTAAAATGGCCCCCTTGGGTGTGACCATCTTCTATGGTCGAGACTGTAGGGATAAAATAAGCCCCAGTCTCCCATAGCGCTCCCAGGCTTATTAGGGCGAGGAAATTCTCGCCTAATAAATTTTGGTCAGACCGGTTGCTCTCAAACCCTGTCTCCTGATACGATGTTATTGATGACAATGGTGCCCGAAACTTCATTAGCAATTTTAATTTCGCCCCGGTCCTGTGGTCCTGTGATCTCGCCCTGCCTCCATTTGCCTTGTGATATTCTATTACCTTGTGAAGTACGTGATCTCTGTGACCCACACCCTATTCGTACACTCCCTCCCCTTTTGAAAATCCCTAATAAAAACTTGCTGGTTTTACAGCTCAGGGGGCATCACGGAACCTACCGACATGTGATGTCTCCCCTGGATGCCCAACTTTAAAATTTCTCTCTTTTGTAGTCCGTCCCTTTATTTCTCAACCTGGCCGATGCTTAGGGAAAATAGAAAAGAACCTACGTGACTATCAGAGGCAGGTTCCCCAATAACAGGTGGCTCAGATTGGTCATTTAAGTGGAGAGTTATTAGGCAGCGGTCATCTTCAGCACTCATAAACTCCACCATGTTAGTGGATTCTTCTGCCTGCTCTATACAAATTAAGAAAAAGACTAATATAATAACCGTGCACACGCTGACATACTCACCAGTGGTCTTCATGGGATGTCCCCTCTGGTACCTCTCCATCCTTTGGTAAGACCTGGTAATTAGGTCCTGCCTCAAACCTCCAATCAGAAAGCTATGGGTACAGGCTGGCATGTTGGCTCACGTCTGTAATCCCAGGACTTTGGGAGGCCAAAATGGGCAGATCACTTGAGGCCAGGAGTTTGAGACCAGCCTGGCCAACATGGCAAAATCCCGTCTCTGCTGAAAATACAAAAAATTAGCTGGGCATGGTGGCACACACCTGTAGTACCAGCTACTTGGGAGGCTGAGGCAGAAGAGTTGCTTAAACCTAGGAGGCAGAGGTTGCAGTGAGCCGAGATCGTGCCACTGCACTCCAGCCTGGGCAACAGAGCAAGACTCCATCTCAAAAAAAAAAAAAAAAGAAAAGAAATCTATGGGCACTTGGGAAAACAGCCTTGGGGCATAACTCAAAAGAGAAACACGGTCTAGTGCAGGGCCGACTTTGTGGGTAGACAAGACCTTCCTTACCCCCATGTCCTGCCTCCCCCAAACCCCATCATTTCTTCTTTGTCATTTCCAGTTGACCCACAAGAGAGACCTTAACAGGTGTAGAAAACAATTCAAGGCTATCAGCAACTCTTCTTCCTCCAGAAGTGCCATCAGACACGCATCACTCATATGACCACAGGTTTCCAGTGACCTCTTCCAACTAAGGTTTCATCGCTTTTACAGAAAACTCAGGGTCAGAATTTTGTTATTTCCCAATATACCTGTTTCTCTTTCAAGGCCACTGGGACTCTCCCTGTCTTCTTTATCAGACTTACTAAAAAGTTCTGAGGAGATTTTCGTCTGGTCAGGCAACATCTGAAATGCAAGACAAAGGTCAACTTTGAAATGTAGTCATCTTTAAAAAAAAAAAAATTTAAGGAAAACGTAAAGCTTAGAACAAAACACACTGATAAATCAGAAGTTAGTCAAGTTTACCAGTTTGTCCTCTCCTGAAGGATCATTCCACTGTTTCTGGCTTCTCCAGGCCCCACCTCCCTACAGGACCAGCTCGGGCTAGCCATTCCCCTGCTCCAAGCACTCTTTCCTGGTATCTTCCCAGCCTCTCCTGTCTCTGGCCCAGGTCTTACCCCATTGGGTAACGTCTAACCGCTGCTTCTCTCAGGCACTGAGTCTCTTTCAGGATGAGTCTGTAGTGAGTTCCCAACTATAGGGTCCTCAGTCCAACCCCTTTCCCTAGAATAGGGGCCTCCTATTCTAGGAACTACAGCTTTATCACAGGAAAATCCTCATTCTCCCCTCAAAACGTTATTATTCATTTTGTGAAACTGGAAAGACATATGATTTCGATGTTTTTGTGAGTTAAGGCAAACTTGTCTTCAGAACATATGTAATTTGATGGAGGAGGTGTTTTTTAACCAAGTGACTGATTTCCCCTTTATTTCTCATCCTCATCCATGAAATGGCCTTTTTGTAAAAAGACCATGTCATTAAAATAAGGTGAGTTTTTAGAAACTATTTTCAGAGCACTTTGCTACATATAAACACCTTCATATACAACTCAAACCAAAAGGAAACCAGCCCAAGACTTCCTTATCTGGTCTCTGAGCTCTTAATTCAACTTTCTATGGGCCATTACCACAGTATTTTTTGCCTTTTGTCACAAATTTCTTTGCCCTGTCTACCATCTGTGATACAGAAAGGTTTCCTGTTTCTGTCAATAAGTAGGAAACAGAGAGAGTTGGAGACCACAGCAATCTAGAGAAGTACAGACCATTTCCACAAGATAAGACCAACAGGTACAACTGTGGAAAAAGTCCCTCAGAAACTTTATTCCTAATGACTCCCTGATACAGTCTGGCTGTGTCCCCACCCAAATCTCATCTTGAATTGTAGCTCCCGTAATTCCCACATGTCATGGGAGAGACCCCATGGGAGGTAACTGAAACATGGGGATGGGTCTTTCCCATGCTGTTCTGACAGTAAGTCTCACAAGATCTGATGGTTTTATAAAGGGGAGTTCCCCTACTCTCTTGCCTGCCGCCATGTAAGATGTGACTTTGCTCCTCCTTTGCCTTCTACCATGATTGTGAAGCCTCCCCAGCCATGTTGAACTGTGAGTCCATTAAACCTCTTTCCTTTATAAATTACCCAGTCTCTGGTATGTCTTTATTAGCAGCGTGAGAACAGACTAATACACTCCCCCTAGGTCCAGGGGGAGCTGAGAGAGACAGAAATGCCAGTGTCCTCAGGACTCCAGGAAGAAGGTGGTAACAGGGTGATATTATCCTAGAAAACCTTTCAGCTGTTCACAGTTAGTAGAGTAAAGCATTTCAAGGAACAAAGAGGCTTTCTATCCTACCTCAAGACAATGACCCATCAAAAGGGAAAACTGGGATTTAAATCCAGAACTCTCAACTCTTTTTTACATGGCATTTGAAAGACCAGGTTTTCTGCTTTATCAAATATTCACATCAAAACCCAACAAGGACATTTAATAGACATGAAACATACTAAAACATTTTTAAATAATCCAAAAGAATGAAACCTGCCACCTGTTTGTCTTCTCCTAAAGCTTGAATGGAAACTTGTGATATGTTGAACTGCAAATCAAAATGGATTTCTATTTTCATGACTTCTTTGTAGCTGATAATCATGGGCTTCTTCAGGTAAATGATAAATATCTTTATCTTCTCCGTTTCTAAGAGAAAATATGGAATATCAATGCATAGCAACATACTTCAATGTTTTATTTTAAAATTTTATCATTTTAAATAACTACGCTAGGGTATTTGTCCAGATTTTTCTGTGTTAAGAAGTTGAAAAGAAATCATATTAAATAACATTACTTTGAAATTGTCCTTTAGATGCACATGTATTTACACATATACACATACAACACAATTAAGTGGTTGATCTTGCAAACATTGGAAGTAACTTACCTTAGCAGCAAAGAAATGAAGATAGTTTTGTCTTCTGCAATTCAGTTTTTTTAAGAGCATTTTGTTTATACAAGGCTATCATCTGCAACAGGTATTTTATTCCCAAATATACTATGCACAATATTCACTCTCTCTCTCTCTGAAATTCTACTTATTTCTAAAATTGAAAATAAAACTCACTGTCCCCAATGTGCAAAATGGAATAATCTACCACCATTTCAATGGACTCCACTTGAAGAAGAGACGGAAACACCTTAGAAAAAATTCTGTAGGCCAGGCGTGGTGGCTCACGCCTGTAATCCCAGCACTTTGGGAGGCCGAGGCGGGTGGATCACGAGGTCAGGAGATGGAGACCATCCTGGCTAACACGGTGAAACCCTGTCTCTGCTAAAAATACAAAAAAATTAGCCGGGCGTGGTGGTGGGTGCTTCTAGTCCCAGCTATTCGGGAGGCTGAGGCGGGAGAATGGCGTGAACCCAGGAGGCGGAGCTTGCAGTGAGCCGAGATCGTGCCACTGCACTCCAGCCTGGAGGAGAGAGCTAGACTCCGTCTCAAGAAAAAAAAAAAAAAAGAAAAAGAAAAAGAAAGAAGTCTGCGTCTCCCAGCACTTTGGGAGGCCGAGGCGGGTGCATCACGAAGTCAGGAGTTTGAAACCAGCCTGACCAACACACTGAAACCCTATCTCTACTGAAAATACAAAAATTAGCTGGGCGTGGTGGTGCACCCCTGTAATCCCAGCTACTCAGGAGGCTGAGGCAGGAGAATTGCTTGAACCCGCTAAGCGGAGGTTGCAATGAGCCGAGATCATGCCACTGCACTCCAGCCTGGGTGACAGAGCAAGCCTCCATCTCAAAAAAAAAAAAAAAAAAAAAAAGTGTGTGTTTCAGACAATAGCCTCCTTGCAGCCTCCTCCCAGGTCACCAGCCCTTTCCTGACAAATTGTAATCGGGCTTACAAGAGAAAATGGCTTAGACCAAATTCACAAAGAGGCCAAGAATACACCACATTAAGTACAAGGTAAGTCGGAAGAAGGAGAATAGAAAAGGCAGCAAAGTCCAGGAAAGAACAGGCAAAGCTAATGGCCACAAATTAATGAGACGGGAAACAAGGGGAAAAAAGAGGGAAACATACATGAGTCTAAATCTGTGAGGTCCAACTCATCAGAGTACTGAAAGCATGCCTAGTACTAACCGAGATGCTCTGTAAGCACAAAATACGCATCGGATTATGAAGACTCAGTACACAAAAGAAGAATGTAAAATGTATCATTAATAATTTTAAAATATTGATTACATGTTAAAATAATATTCTGGATATTATTATTCCAGGATATAATATTCTGGGTTAAACAAAATATATTAATAAAATTAATCTACTTAATCTACTTTTTTAATCTACTCAAATTAATCTACTTTTTTCTTTAATGTGACTACTAGAAAATTTTAAATTAAGTATCTGGCTCACCTCATATTTCTATAGGACAGTGCTGGTCTAGAGTAAGCCTCCATGATCTCCCCAAAATACTAATCTTGCCGGACATTTTACTCATCACTCCAGGGAAAGTCTATAAAACCATGCAACAAAAGTAATCTTAAATATCTTAAAAAGTAACTAGCTAATTGTTAGCCCGGCATGGTGGCGGGCGCCTGTAGTCCCAGCTACTCGGGATGTTGAGGCAGAAGAATGGCGTGAACCCGGGAGGAGGAGCTTGCAGTGAGCTGAGATCGCACCACTGCACTCCAGCCTGGACGACAGAGTGAGACTTCGTCTCAAAAAAAAAAAAAAAAAAGTAACTAGCTAACTGGGCCGTGGGATCAATGCAAACATATACAAGGGTCAGAAGAAATACCATGAGGGCTACATCAAGCTTCCAACATACTACACTGCCAACTCCATAACCAGAAGGGCTATGATACAGAACAAAAGTCTTACTTACGGAATTTACTAGACAATCATCAGTTTCTTTGGCTATAAGAATGGAAAGAGTAATACCTACTTCCTGTAGAAATTGTGAGGCACTTTGTAAATTAAAAACCATGAACCACAGAAACGTGATCTATTCATGAAGTTACAAAATATTAACTTTGGCAAGTTGACTCCTGAAAGCTGTTAACTGAGCACCCACATTCTTAAAGAAAATAATGAATTATTTTTACCTTTTTCCTTTTCCCCCACCTCTTACTTAGCTCTTTAGGAATGCAATTATGAAAAACAAACAAACAAACAAACAAAAAACATTAAAAAGTGGTCGGCCAGGCATGTTGGCTCACGCCTGTAATCCAGCACTTTGGGAGGCCGAGGCGGGCAGATCACGAGGTCAGGAGACCGAGACCATCCTGGCTAACACGGTGAAACCCCGTCTTTACTAAAAAATACAAAAAATTAGCCAGGTGTGGTGGCGGGCGCCTGTAGTCCCAGCTACTCGGGAGGCTGAGGCAGAAGAATGGCATGAACCCAGGAGGCGGAGCTTGCAGTGAGCCAAGATCGCGCCACTGCACTTCAGCCTGGGCGACAGAGCGAGACTCCATCTCAAAAAAAAAAAAAGGTGGTCAAAGGACATAAACAGACACTTCTCAAAAGAAGATATTCATGCAGCCAACAAACGTATGAAAAAAACCTCAACATCACTGATCATCAGAGAAATGCAAATCAAAACCACAATGAGATACCATCTCATGCCAGTCAGAATGGCTATTATTAAAAAGTCAAACAACAGATGCTGGCAAGGTTGCGGAGAAAAAGGAAGACTTTACACTGTTGGTGGGAGCGTAAATTAGTTCAACCATTGTGGAAGGCAGTGTGGTGATTCCTCAAAGACCTAGAGAAAGAAATACCATTTGACCCAGCAATCCCATTACTGGGTATATGCCTAAAGGAATATAAATCATTCTATTATAAAAATACATGCACACCTATGTTCATTGCAGCACTATTCACAATAGCAAAGACATGGAATCAATCTAAATTCCCATCAATGATAGACTGGATAAAGAAAATGTGGTACATACACACCTTGGAATACTATGCAGCCATAAAAAAAATGAGATCATGTCCTTTGCAGGGACATGGATGGAGCTTGAAGCCATCATCCACAGCAAACTAACACAGGAACAGAAAACCAAACACCGCATGTTCTCACTTATAAGTGGGAGCTGAATGATGAGAACACATGGACACATTGCGGGGAACACATACTGGGGCCTGGGTATGTTGGGGGAGAACATCAGGAAGAACAACTAATGGATGCTGGGCTTAACACTTAGGTGATGGGATGATCTGTGCAGCAAACCACTATGGCACATGTAACAAACCTGTACATCCTGCACATGTACCTATGTAACAAACCTGTACATCCTGCACCTATGTAACAAACCTGTACATCCTGCACATGTACCCATGAACTTAAAAGTTGAAGAAAAAAAAAAAGGAACGCAATTATAACATTTACCTTCTTTCCATGAGGCACTCTCTGTCCTGCAGAGAGTATGTAACAAACCTGTACATCCCGCACATGTACCCATTAACTTAAAAGTTACCTATGTAACAAACCTGTAACAAACCTGTGTAGGTTTACCTATGTAACAAACCTGTACATCCTGCACATGTACCCATGAACTTAAAATAAAAGTTGAAGAAAATAAAAAAAGGAACGCAATTATAACATTTACCTTCTTCCCATGAGGCACTCTCTGTGCTGCAAGCTCATCTAACTATATGTTTGCTTAGAAATTCTAAGGAGGCCAGGCACGGTGTCTCACGCCTGTAATCTCAGCACTTTGGGAGGGCGAGGCTGTTGGATCACTTGAGGTCAGGAGTTCGAGACCAGCCTGGCCAACATGGCAAAACCCCATCTCTACTAAAATACAAAAATTAGCTGGGTATGGTGGTATAGGCCTGTAATCCCAGCTACTCAGGAGGCTGAGGCAGGAGAATCGTTTGAACACAGGAGGCAGAGGTTGCAGTGAGCCAAGATCACGCCACTGCACTCCAGCCTGGGTGACACAGTGAGAGTCTCAAAACCAAACCAAACCAAACCAAACAAAACAAAAAGAAATTCTAAGGAACAAACGTTGAACCAAACCAGGCACCCCCTGAGATTCTCCCCACCAGGAGATTGCCTTGAGACAACAGTCAATGTACAACCTAGTTCTGCCCACGATGGCACCAGCCAGACCACCTGATGGATAAGACATCAAAGCAAGTCATGAAGACCCCACACTTCCTCACTCTCTCCCTTACATGCCATTCATGCCAAGTCCCCTTTAAAATCCCCTGCTTTCTTGCTCACCCATTGCCTGCAAACAGACTTGGTGGTTTTGAGGGTGGGGGGTACCGTGGGAGTGAGACCGGCCCTTTGGATTGCATGGGAGCTGGGTGAGGCCTGTGACTGCTGACTTTTCCCCATTTCCCTGACAACCTGCATGACTCAGCAGAGACAGCCATAATCCTCCTAGGAACATAACTCCATTGACCTGGGAACCTCACCCATATCCCCACAGCAGCCACAGCAAGACCCACCCAAGGAGAGTCTGAGTTCAGACACTCCTAATCCTGCCCCCACCCAATGATCCTTCCCTACCTATCCTGGTAACTGAAGACTAAGGGAATATACTCTTGGGAGTTCTAGGGCCCCACCCACCGCCTGTTCCTCCCTACACTACCATAGCTGATGCTCTCTGGAAATCACCACCTACCGGCAGAAGGCCAACCAGCACAAAAACAGAGCATTAAACTACCAAAGTTAAGAACCATCACAGAGTCCATTTCACCCCACTGCCACCTCCATCAGAACAGGTGCTGGTATCCATGGCTGAGAGACCCATAGACAGTTCACATCACAGGACTCTGTACAGACAACCCCCAGTACCAGCCCGGAGCCTAGTAGACTTGCTGGGTGGCTAGATCCTGAAGAGAGATAATAGTCCCTACGGCTCGGCTCTCAGGAAGCCACAACCATAGGAAAAGAGGGAGAGTACTACATCAAGGGCACACCCCATGGGACAAAAGAATCTGAACAACAGCCTTCAGCCCCAGACCTTCCCTCTGACAGAGCCTACCCAAATGAGAAAGAACCAGAAAACCAACTCTAGTACTATGACAAAATAAGGTTCTTTAACACCCTCCAAAAATCATACTAGCTCACCAGCAATGGATCCAAACCAAGAAGAAATCCCTGATGTACCTGAAAAAGAATTCAGGAGGTTAGTTATTAAGCTAATCAGGGAGGCACCAGAGAAAGGTGAAGCCCAATGTAAGGAAATAAAAAAATCATACAAGAAGTGAAAGGAGAACTATTCAATGAAATAGATGGCATAAATAAAAAACAATCAAAATTTCAGGAAACAATGGACAACTTACAGAAATGCAAAATGCTCTGGAAAGTCTCAGCAATAGAATCGAACAAGTGGAAGAAAGAAAGTCAGCCGGGCATGGTAGCTCACGCCTGTAATCCCAGCACTTTGGGAGGCCAAGGTGGGCGGATCACGAGGTCAGGAGATTGAGACCATCCTGGCCAACATGGTGAAACCCGTCTCTACTAAAAATACAAAAATTAGCTGGGTATGGTGGCACGTGCCTGTAATCCCAGCTACTCGGGAGGCTGAGGCATGAGAATCACTTGAACCCAGGAGGCGGAGGTTGCAGTGAGCTGAGATCACACCATTGCACTCCAGCCTGGCAACAGAGCGAGACTCTGTCTCAAAAAAAGAAAAGAAAAAAAAAGTCAGAGCCCGAAGACAAGGTCTTCGAATTCACCCAATACAACAAAGACAAAGAAAAAAGAATAAGAAAATACGAACAAAGTCTCCAAGAAGTCTGGGATGATGTTAAACGACCAAATGTGAGAATAATTGGCACTCCCGAGAAAGAAGAGAAATACGAAAGTTTGGAAAATATATTTGGGGGAATAATCAAGGAAAACTTCCCCAGCTTTGCTAGAGACCAAGACATCCAAATACAAGAAGCACAAAGAACACTCGGGAAATTCATCACAAAAAGATCATTGGCGAGGCACATTGTCATCAGGTTTTCTTTCCTTTTCTTTTTTTTTTTTTTTTTGAGATGGAGTCTCGCTCTGTCGTCCAGGCTGGAGTAAGGTGGCGCGATCTCGGCTCACTGCAAACTCCTCCTCCTGGGTTCACACCACTCTCCAGCCTCAACCTCCCAACAAAGGAAAGAATCTTGAGAGCAGTGAGACAAAAGCACCAGGTAACCTATAAAGGAAACCTACCAGATTAACAGCAGATTTCTCAGCAGAAATCCTACAAGCTAGAAGGGATTGGGGCCCTATCTTCAGCCTCCTCAAACAAAACAATTATCAGCCAAGAATTTAGTATCCAGAGAAAATAAGCTTCACATATGAAGGAAAGATACAGCCTTTTTCAGACAAATAAATGCTGAGAGAATTTGCCACTACCAAGCCACCACTACAAGAACTGCTAAAAGGAGCTCTAAATCTTGAATCCTGGAAACACATCAAAACAGAACCTCTTTAAGGCATAAATCACACAGGACCTATAAAACAAAAATACAATATTACAAACAAAACCCAAGGCATATAAGCAAGAAGTAGCATGATGAATGGAATGGTACCTCACATCTCAATACTAACATTGAATGTAAATGGCCTAAATGCTCCACTTAAGAGATACAGAATTGCAGAATGAATAAGAATTCACCAACCATCTGCTGTCTTCAAGAGACTCACCTAACACATAAGGACTCACATAAACTTAAGGTAAAGGCGTGGAAAAAGACATTTCATGCAAAAGGACACCAAAAGCGAGCAGGAGTAGTTATTCTCATATCAGACAAAACAAACTTTAAAGAAACAGCAGTTAAAAAAGACAAAGAGGGACATTATGTAATGATAAAAGGCCTTGTCCAACAGAAAAATATCACAATCCTAAACATATATGCACCTAACACTGGAGTTCCAAAATTTATAAAACAATTACTAATAGACTTAAGAAATGAGATAGACAGCAACACGATAATCGTGGGGGACTTCAATACTCCACTGACAGCACTAAACAGGTCATCAAGACAGAAAGTCAACAAAGAAACAATGGATTTAAACTACACCCTGGAACAAATGAACTTAACAGATACATACAGAACATTCCATCCAACAACCGCAGAATATACGTTCTATTCAACAGGTGCCTGGAACTTTCTCCAAGATAGACCATATGAGAAGACCACAAAACAAGCCTCAATAAATTTAAGAAAACTGAAATTATTATGATGATTATTTTATTTTTTGAAATGGAGTCTTGCTCTGTCACCCAGGCTGGAGTGCAGTAGTGCAATCTTGGTTCACTGCAACCTCCACCTCCCAGGTTCAAGCGATTTTCCTGCCTCAGCCTCCCAAGTAGCTGGCATTACAGGCATGCGCCACCATGCCCGGCTAATTTTTTTGTATTTTTAGTAGAGACAGGGTTTCACCATGTTGACCAGGCTGGTCTTGAACTCCTGACCTCAGGTGATCTGCCCACCCTGGCCTCCCAAAGTGCCGGGATTACAGGCGTGAGCCACCACGCCTCGGCTAGAAAGTTGAAATTATATCAAGCACTCTCTCAGACCATAGTGGAATAAAACTGGAAATCAACTCCAAAAGGAACCTTCAAAACCATGCAAATACATGGAAATTAAATAACCTGCTACTGAATGATCATTGGGTCAAAAATGAAATCAAGATGGAAATTTAAAAATTCTTTGAACTGAGTGACAACAGTGACACAACCTATCAAAACCTCTGAGATACAGCAAAGGCAATGCTAAGAGGAAAGTTCACAGCCCTAAACACCTACATCAAAAAGTCTGAAAGAGCACAAACAGACAATCTAAGGTCACACCTCAAGGAACTAGAGAAATAAGAACAAACCAAACTCAAACCCCGTAGAAGAAAAGAAATAACCAACATCAGACCAGAACTAGATGAAATTGAAACAAAACAATACAAAAGATAAATGAAACAAAAAGCTGGTTCTTTGAAAAGATAAATAAAACTGATAGACCATGAGTAAGACTAACCAAGAAAAGAAGAGAGAAAATCCAAATAAACTCAGTAAGAAATGAAACAGGAGATATTACAACTGACACCACTGAAATACAAAAGATCATTTAAGGCTTCTATGAACACCATTACACACATAAACTAGAAAACCTAGAAGAGATGGATAAATTTCTGGAAAGATACAACCCTCCTAGCTTAAATCAGGAAGAATCAGATACCCTGAATAGACCAATAACAAGCAGTGAGATTGAAATTGTAATTTAAAAATTACCAACACCAAAAAGTCCAGGACCAGACAGATTCACAGCAGAATTCTACCAGACAGTCAGAGAAGAATTGGTGCCAATCCTACTGACATTATTCCACAAGATAGAGAAAAAGGGAACCCTCCCTAAATCATTCTATGAAGCCAGTATCACCCTAATACCAAAAGCAGGAAGGGACATTACCAAAAAAGAAAACTACAGACCAATATCCCTGATGAACATAGATGCTAAAATTCTTAACAAATACTAGCTAACCGAATCCAACGACATATCAAAAAGATAATCCACCATCATCAGGTGGGTTTCATACCAGGGATGCAGGAATGGTTTAATATGCACAAGTCAATAAATGTGATACACCACAAAAACAGAATTAAAAACAAAAATCACATGATCATCTGAATAGATGCAGAAAAAGCATTCGACAAAATCCAGCATCCCTTTATGATTAAAACTCTCAGCAAAATCGGCATACAAGGGACATACCTCAATGTAATAAAAGCCATCTATGACAAACCCATAGCCAACATAATACCGAATGGGGAAGAGTTGAAAGCATTCCATCTGAGAACTGGAACAGGACAAGGATGCCCACTCTCACCACTCCTCTTCAACATAGTATCGGAAGTCCTAGCCAGAGCAATCAGACAAGAGACAGAAATAAAGGGCATCCAAATTGGTAAAGAGGAAGTCAAACTGTCTCTGTTTGCTGATGATAATGATTGTATACCTAGAAAACTCTAAAGATTCCTCCAGAAAGCTCCTTGAACTGATAAAAGAATTCAGCAAAGTTTCCAGATATAAAATTAATGTACACAAATCGGTAGCTCTTCTATACACCAACAGCAACCAAGCTGAGAATCAAATCAAGAACTCAACCCCTTTTACCATAGATGCAAAAAACAAAATAAAATAACTTAGGGATGGGCCAGGTGCGGTGGTTCACGCCTGTAATCCCAGAACTTTGGGAGGCTGAGTTGGGCGGATCACCTGAGGTCAGGAGTTCATGATCGGCCTGGCTAACATGGTGAAACCCAGTCTCTACTAAAAATACAAAATTAGCTGGGTGTGGTGGTGGGCACCTGTAATCCCAGCTACTCAGGAGGCTGAGGCAGGAGAATCGCTTGAACCCAGGAGGCAGAGGTTGCAGTGAGTTGAGATCACACCACTGTACTCACTCCAGCCTGGGTGACAGAGTAAGACTCCATCTCCAAAAAAAAAAAAAAAAAAAAACTTAGGGATATACCTAACCAAGGAGGTGAAAGATCTCTACAAGGAAAACTACAAAACACTGCTGAAAGAAATCATAGACGACACAAACAAATGGAAACACATCCCATGCTCATGGATGGGTAAAATCAATGAAAATGATCACACTGCCAAAAGCAATCTACACATTCAATACAATTCCCAGTAAAATATCACCATCATTCTTCACAGAATTAGAAAAAACAATCCAAAAATTTGTATGGAACCAAAAAGAGCCCACGTAGCCAAAGCAAGACTAAGCAAAAAGAACAAATCTGGAGGCATCAAATTACCGGACTTCAAACTATACTACAAGGCCATAGTCATGAAAACAGCATGGTACTGGTATAAAAATAGGCACATAGACCAATGGAACAGAATAGAGAACCCAGAAATAAACCCAAATACATACAGCAAACAAAAACATAAAAGTAGGGAAAGGATATCCTTTTCAACAAATGGTGCTGGGATAATTAGCAAGCCACATGTAGGAGAATGAAACTGGATCCTCCTCCCTCTCCTTATACAAAAATCAACTCAAGACGGATGAAGGACTTAAATCTAAGACCTGAAACTATAAAAATTCTAGAAGAATGGGCACGGTGGCTCACACATGTAATCCCAGCACTTTGGGAGGCCAAGGTGGACGGATCACCTGAAATCAGGAGTTCAAGACCAGCCTGACCAACAGGGAGAAACCCCATCTCTATTAAAAATACAAAAAATTAGCCAGGCATGGTGGCACATGCCTGTCATCCCAGCAACTCAGGAGGCCAAAGCACAAGAATTGCTTGAACCTGGGAGGCAGAGTTTGTGGTGAGCCAAGATCGCGCCATTGCACTCCAGCCTGGGCAACAAGAGCAAAACTCCACTTCAAAAAAAAAAAAATTCTAGAAGATAACATTGGAAAAACCCTTCTAGACATTGGCTTAGGCAAGGATTTCATGACCAAAAAACCAAAAGCAAATGCAATAAAAACAAAGATAAATAGCTGGGACTTAATTAAACTAAAGATCTTTTGCGTGGCAAAAGGAACAGTCAGCAGAGTAAACAGACAACCCACAGAGTGGAGAAAACCTTCACAATCTATACATCTGACAAAGGACTAATATCCAGAATTTACAACGAACTCAAACAATTCAGCAAGAAAAAAAAAATCCCATCCAAAAGTGGGGTAAGGACATGAATAGACAATTCTCAAAAGATATACAAATGGCCAGAAAACACGAAAAAATGCTCAACATCACTAATGATCAGGGGAATGCAAATCAAAATCTCTGATCTGCAAAGCCCTTGATCCTAACTACTAGTTACAAGAGAGCCTGGCAATCCATCTCCGTAGAGGGGGCAGGCACCTTCATTTCCTGACAGCCATGTCCTTTCTTGCTAGATGTCTTCCTTACTAACCACAGTTTACTACCTGATTTTCTAGGTTTATCAAGAGAGGAACTAGGATGACATGTTCTCCTCTCCCCATCAGACTCTTTCAAACCAAAGCAGCACTTTGGGGAAAAGCATTGTTAATTGATTGCTGGATCATATGGTAGTTCTACTTTTAATTTTGTGAGGATCTATAAACATTTTTAAAATGAAAAAACTAGACAAATAATTTAATCCCAAGGTCACAAAGCATAGAAGTCACAAACCTGTGACAGCGCACCTTCTATCATACCATACAGCCTTCCTACCTCAAGGCATGGTCAAAATATGCCCTAGAATTAAATAAATACACACTGCATATACAACAGAAATAATATTTGGAACTGGACGTGGGTTGTTTAAATGTATCATATTACCTGTTATGCTGAAATTCATCACCGCTTCCTTCGGAAGTGTCACTGAGTCCCATAGAGTATTCTTGGGAAAATAAATAAGTGAAATTCATGAGTGCAAAACACATACTTACATAAAAAAGATCTCTAAAGGCTTAGTTCTAACCAAGAATCGAACATCATTACCTCAGCATTGTCTATATAAAAAGTGACACTCTGACTTCCTAGGTTGAAGTCGATCCAAAATTTCTCTAATTTTTCATCCGCTGGTTTTCTCATCTGTAAGAGATCATTTCAGCATGACTTATACACATAAAAATCATGCTATAGGGTCAGATAAACATTATTCCCTTGAAAATAGAATTTGTGCTCTTCCTGGAACAGCATTATCCTAGCATTATAGGGCCTCTATTGACTGACTCTTTTGTGCAAAACAGAAGGATCTCAATTTTATAGAACTCAGCCATTTCCTCCTCACCCCTCCAAAAATCCCACTATCCTTAGCATATTTGATAGATATTTAAATGTGTCACATTATTCTATCCACACAATTTTTTTTCTAATGAAAATCACGGAGAAAACAGTTCTATGTTGAATCAGTAACAAGCCACACTGCATATGGATGGAAACTTCTGGAGAAGGAGATACTGTAACCAAACATGAGTGATTTGCCATCTATCTTCCAACCATTAGAGTACAGCTAAGACTTGAAGACTTCAAATTTCCTTCATTTTAATTATTCTAAAATAAATAGATGCTTAGAGTTAAAACAGGGGAAGAAAGATTCTAACAGTATGGTGTTTATAGAAACAGTAAACATCTTCTCTGCCCCTCAGTTTTTCATAAGTACCTTTCCATAGGCACCATTAACAATGCCTTTGTTTCCTCCCAGATGTTTTCTAGACATGTATCAACAAGTATACTCGGGAGGCTGAGGCAGGAGAATGGCATGAACCCGGGAGGCGGAGTTGGCAGTGATCCGAGATCACATGATGGCACTCCAGCCTGGGCAACAGAGTGAGACTCCGTCTCAAAAAAAAAAAAAAAAAAAAAAAAAGCTTTTATTCCCCAACAACAGATAAAACACTAGACTTACTATTCTACAATCCAACTTTCCAATAAGTTGTATTTCTTGGACATCTTTCCTTTGTATCATACATGTCTACCTTTTAATAGCTACAGAGGTGAATGAGGGCTTTCACCCACAATACATGTTCCTGGAAGCCAATGTAAGGGTCAGGGTAAGGGCCCTGATGGAAGTGAATGGAAATTTGGATGTCATAGAAAGAAGAAAAACCAAACAGAGAGCAGAATCTTCAGACAACCAAAGGGAAAATACACAGAATTGAGACACAAGAATCAGCCTACCAGACTCAGTTCTAGAGAGAAGGAATGTGTAGTGTAGCCATGAGCTGAAAGTTTAGCTCTGAGAGGCCAAGAAGGGGACTCTGAACCCAAAACAAAGAAATCATGAATGAGGACATTCTGAAGACAGGGTTCAGGACACTCAAACAAAGTCAAGCTTCCAAGACCTCTAAATATTTTAGCCTGAAACTGAGATGCTGTAGGTTAGGGCCCTTTTATATGAAGGACCTTGTTCCTCTAGAAACCAAATGGGGGGTGGGGAAGAAACTGGTCAACCTTGGACTATAAAGTGCAAGGTAGAATGAGAGAGAGAGAAAGGACAGTGGCCCCAGTTGTTGAGAATAAGAGGACAGGGCATAAACCGGAAGGAAAGAAGCAAGGAAATCATCCTTTTTACCCCAGTCTAGGCATGAATTATGTTACCCATGAATAGGGTAAAATGAGGCAAGCTTCCTGTAACTGTGCTCATGTACACAGTACAGACCCTAAAATTCCTTTTTCCAGTAGTAACAGTAGAGGCCTTAAACTTACTGGTAACGCATTCTGGTTAGGGTATGGTATGATCGGTTTGAGAACTGAGGTCATTAGAAGACGTTGGCATCCTTTTTTAAAAAGCCCTTTTGAGTTATGAGAGCAAAAGTTTGATCTAACCACGTAAACCTAACTCCTGGTTTCACTGCACACCGCCCTCAGGACCTCCAAGAGGGATGAACATACCTCATGCTCATCAGCAAAAGCAGCAATACACGGAAATGAATACACCCTGCAAAATACCTCACAATTAAAAAAATAAAACATGAATGAATCTTAAACACATCTACAGACGTTCCGCAACAAGCACTTATAACTAGAGTATGCCATTAAGTCTCCTCGTACAGAGTACAATAGGGGGTTTCAAGCCTGCAAATGGAGACCTACTATGGGTAGATTTCAAATCTCCATCTGGCAGTCAGTAAGCCAGGTTTACTAGTACTATATCTCAACCCAGTTACTCAGCCAGATTCCCAAACAAAAGGAGTGAATTTAGCAAATATTGTCTGACCAAGGACTTAACTGTTCACGATACAACTACCTCCAGCAACCTCAAGTCAGGAAATTGTTCTTCATAAAGTCTATGAACTCTTTAAAGAATGTATTATTTTAAAATACCCCAAGTCACAAATATAATAAAACTGATAGAGGTAATTTTTAAACACACTCGAACAAGCCACTAGGCAGAAAGGGTCTGATCTTCTCAGGTTTCCACTCAATGGACAACTCAGTATACTCTGTAAATGATGTACCCAATATTCTCTCCTAAAATGAAACAGACCCTAAACTGTTCTTTTAAAATATTAGACATTTTCAGAATACAACTAGTCAATAATGCTCAGAGACACAACTTACCTTCTTTGGTCACCAAGTCTGTTGTTTAGGTGATTGAGAAAACGTCTACTGTCCTTCAAAGCAAATGATATAAACTTTTATTAAAAAAAAATCAAGATGTCTTAGTTAATACTACCTTAGCATACAGAGGCCAGTGTTTGCTTCTAAATGACCAGGAGGCAGTAACATCAATGAGGCTTTACAAGGATTTGTTATTATATGTTAACAATACTTCATGCCACAAAGAGGAGGCTCCAGGATCATGTTTCCAGAAGGAACCTTTGCTCCCTGCAGCCATTAGATTTTCAGCTGAGGAATACTTAGGTCTCCAAAAGTTAAATGCCTGGTTATGTTTCACTGGGTCAGAAGTGTAAGCAAGATAAATACGTCTTACTGATGACCTAGGTTACAATATTTGACCGACCCATTGGGCATCCACCTCCCTAACACCTGCACAGCACTAACCAACCACAAACCTACAAAATGTATTAACTGTGATCTGGGTGTATTATCTACGGCCAACTTTCCTTTTTGGGAGTTCTCTATCTCACTGTCTTCTCCTAGCATATGTTCTAAGAACAAAGACTATTATTAGAGTTCTCCTAACCAACAGCTCTCAGGAAGAAATCTGCTGCCCCCCAACATTCTAAAAACAAAGAGACAGATCCAAGTTTTTGTTCCCTTTTGTTAGCAAGAATTGACTGTTGCAGTCAACACTCCTTATGCTCCTGATCTACCATTCAGGAGTAAATAGACCTCAGCAGTGTAAGCCTTTCATGCAAAAAAGCAATTCGGGCCGGACGTGGTGGCTCTCGCCTGTAATCCCAGCACTTTGGGAGGCCGAGGCGGGCAGATCACCTGAGGTTGGGAATTGGAGACCAGCCTGACCAACATGGAGAAACCCCGTCTCTACTAAAAATACAAAATTAGCCGGGAGTGGTGGCACACGCCTGTAATCCCAGCTACTCGGGAGGATAAGGCAGGAGAATTGCTTGCACCCAGGAGGCGGGGGTTGCAGTGAGCCGAGATCATGCCACTGCACTCCAGTCTGACCAACAAGACCGAAAGAAACTCTGTCTCAAAAAAAAAAAAAAAAAAAAAAAAATTCAATTGAGAAGTTGATAGCTCTGGGGAAGGAAATGATTTTGGAAACAAGATAATTACATTTCTCTATTTTCATCAAATTTTCCTGCAAATGAGAAATGACAAAGAGCAGAAAGGAAATTAACACGTGAGCGCCTACAACAGCCCTGGACCTTTCAGTTTCTCTCACTGAGTTCTCAAGACTTTGAGGTGGGCTTTAGTCCCATTTTACAGATGAGGTCACTCAGGCTTCACAAGTCAACTACCTTGCCAAAATGCATACATCCCATAAATTGGAGAGGTGGGGCTCAAACTCTAGGTTCAACCCAGTTTGGGATAGCCCCAAAGCTCATGGTCTTTCCACTGAGATTATACTGAATCCTGGCTAAAGAATTACTTTATGCAGTATATGACAGTAGGCTCAGAGTCTGAGGAAATATAAAGGTCCATATTTCATAAGAGTCTTGATTACATAGGAATTTTGACGAGAAAGGTTTGTCAACATGAGTACTGTTATTAAGAATTCTACCTTTTCCTACAAGAGTCTAACCCTCATTTTAAAAACTTTTTAAAAGAAGAGGGAAAATGTTCTAGCTATTTTAAGATGAAGGTGAATACACAGCAAAGCCATACGCTATTTTTGTGCAGCCTGAGGACACAATCACAGGAAGCCCAGCTTGCAGAGAAGAAAAAAAAAAGTATTGTTTCTCCAAATTGTACAGGCCAGATGGCTCACAACACAACCACCCCATAATACTCTTCTGCCAGGCCATGTCCATTTCAGCCTCCTGCCATCACAGCAGCTGCCTTCTGCAAGGCAAAAATGCTCTGATTTCTTCTTCAATTCTTCCTACCATTCAAGGTTCATTGAAAATTGCTCACCCTTCCAAGACTTTTTTTTTAACTGGATCCATCAAATTCACCTAGTTCTGTCTCCTATAAAGAAGTCCTAGACAGACATGGTGGCTCATGCCTATAATTCCAGCACTTTGGGAGGCCAAGGTGGGCGGATCACCTGAGGTCAGGAGTTCAAGATAAGACTGGCCAACATGGCTAAACCTGGTCTCTACTAAAAATAAAAAATTAGCCAGGTGTGGTGGCAGGTGCCTATAATCCCAGCTACTTGGGATGCTGAGGCAGGAGAATCACTTGAACCCAGGAGGCAGAGGTTGCAGTGAGCTGAGATTGCGCCACTATACTCCAGCCTGGGCAAGAGTGAGACTCTGTCAAAAAAAAAAAAAAAAAACCTATCTGTATCCCTATATCTAGCTCACAAATATTCTGTTCATATTACCCTCAAATTGTTTCTCCTAAGTGAGAAACAAGTTCAAGAATGGCAGTGTAATCACACTTAAGCAAAAAAATCCTCCCGTAAGCCCAATGCACAGGAAAGTTCTCAGCGGATGCTTAATAAATATTGGCTAATAAGAAATTCGCATGGCCAGGAATCTCACCGTCTCAAATTCTCGATCCTTAATTTCTTTGAAAGCTTCAGCAATGACTTCATCATCAAACCATTTATGGACAAGTTCATCCCTTGATTTTTTAATCGTCAGTCTACACAGCGCTTCAGAAATAGCAACCTGCTGGTCATAATCTAGAGATTAAAAACATAGTAGACATAGATAATTCTGGGCACAAAGCAAAAGAAAAAATGAGTTCCAGATTTAGCACTTGCTCTAAGAAACTCCATCTGAGAAGCCTAGCATTGTGTCTTAAAAAGTTACCACAGCAAAATGCATCCTGGAGTAATTAGAATCATTTAAATTCTATTTTTTTTTTTTTGAGATTGTCTCACTCTGTCACCCTGGAGTGCAGTGGTGGCTGGAGTGCAGTGGCCCAATCTCGACTCACTGCAACCTTTGCCTCCTGGGTCAAGTGATTCTCCTGCCTCAGCCTCCCAAGAAGCTGGGATTACAGGCATGTGTCATCATGCCTACCTAATCTTTATGTTTTTAGTAGAGATAAGGTTTTGCCATGTTGGCCAGGCTGGTCTTGAACTTCTGGGTTCAAGCAATCTGCCCACCTCGGCCTCCCAAAGTGCCGGAATTGTAGGCATGAGCCACCATGCCTAGCCAAAATCATTTAAATTGAGTATTTAAGAAATACAATAAAAATCTAAACAAGAGGTTGGCATATAACAATTTTTAAATAAATAATATTTATGGGTGTTATATTTTAAATATATTAAAATACTCATTCAAACCAAATCATCAAACAGCCTTAAAAATGTTTCTACTGGCCAGGCGTGGTGGCTCATGCCTGTAATCCCAGCACTTTGGGAGGCCGAGGCAGGAGGATCACCGGAGGTCAGGAGTTCGAGACCAGCCTGGCCAACATGGTGAAATCCCCGTCTCTACTAAAAATACAAAAATTAGCCAGGTGTGGCGGTGCGTGCCTGTAATCCCAGCTACTCGGGAGGCTGAGGCAGGAGAGTCGCTTGAAAACGGGAGGCGGAGGCTGCAGTGAGCCGAGATCGCGCCATTGCACTCCAGCCTGGCCAACAAGGGCAAAACTCCATCAAAAAAAAAAAAAAAGTTTCTACTACAAAATAAAATCCCAAAATAACTTGTAGTATTTCACAGCAAATAAACTAAAACTACATGTAGCAACATGTTTAAATTTCAAACAATTCTAAGGGTAAAAAGGAATGGCATTTATAGAATGCTTTTAAAATCTGCAAAATGATAATGCATGTTGTTTAGGGATGTACAGAGTAAAAGTAGAAAAATATGCTTGGGAACGAAAAACAAATCTGAGTCAAGGAGAGGGAAATGGGATGAGGAACATGGACACAGGGGACTTTATCCATGACACTGTTTTTTTTTTCTTTAAAAACAGACTTGAAGCTAATGCGGTAAAATGCTAAATTGTGACAAAGCTGGCTGGTGAGTAAATGAGTACTCACGAATTATTCTTTACAGTTTCCAGCATGCTAAAATCTCTCAAAATAAATTTAAAATAAAACCCTGATTCCTATCTTCAATTTAACCATAATTTATTCCCCATAGTCCCAAGATGCTCATAAAACCCCCAGTGTCCAATATTTAATATTCTAATACTGAAAATTCTAAAATTTCTTACCACCCACAGTCAAGAGTGTCCTTGCAAGGTCTTTCCTGAAACATTTAGATAAATCACATTTAACTGAAGTGAACATCAAGAGGTAAAACTTTACTACACTAGCATTAAACTTTAAAACCAAAGTATATGTTTCTGAAACTATTTCAAATTCAGCATCAAAATTTCCTTAATGCCAACACATATTTATGGAAAAACCTTCTCAAGTTTATATATTAATGATCTAGATGTTATTTTTTAAGATGCTAGAACTACTATATACACTCTGAGGTTCTGTTTTCCCTCTTGTAAAGTGAATTCAATTTGATGATCTCTAAGGGTTCATCAGATTAATTCTGGAGTTTTATAATCACCGCACCAACCTGTGAGGGCGTATGTCCTTTTACACAGTTTGATACTTGCAGGAAATGATACGACAGTGATTCTTTCCTATGAGCTGCTTGATCTGATTTTAAAAACTAATCTAGGCTGGGCACAGTGGCTCACGCCTGTAATCCCAGCAGTTTGGGAGGCCGAGACGGGCAGATCACCTGAGGTTCGGAGTTCGAGACCAGCCTGACCAACATGGAGAAACCCCATCTCTACTAAAAACACAAAACTAGCCAGGTGTGGCAGCACATGCCTGTATTCCCAGCTACTCGGGAGGCTGAGGCAGGAGAATCTCTTGAACCCGGGAGGCGGAGGTTGCAGTGAGCCGAGAGCGTGCCATTGCACTCCAGCCTGGGCAACAAGAGTGAAACTCCGACTCAAAAAAAAAATGGTAATAATAATAATAATTTAGAGATGTAATAGAATTAAGTTATTACATTATTGTAACTAATGCAGACTCCTGAATTGTATATTCACTCAGAATTTCAAATAAATGCTAACAAGTGTGAGTCGATCTTCTTCTTTTTTTTTTTTTTTTTTTTTTTTGAGACCAAGTCTGGCTCTGTCACCCAGGCTGGAGTGCAGTGGCACGATCTCGACTCACTGCAATGCACTCTGCCTCCCAGGGTCAAGCAATTCTCCTGCCTCAGCCTCCCAAGTAGCTGGGATTACAGGTGCCCGCCACACCCAGCTAATGTTTTGTATTTTTAAGAGAGACGGGGCTTCACCATGTTGGTCAGGCTGGTCTCGAACTCCTGACCTCAAGTGATCCGCCCACCTTAGCCTCAGCCTCCCAAAGTGCTGGGATTACAGGTGTGAGCCACCATGCCCGGCCGAGTCGATCTTTTAATGCCTGAAATAACTCCCATTTTAAAGAACAGATTTGTTGAGAAACCTTGTGATAGTTCAGTCTCTTGTAAGAAGCAGCTCGACTTGTTACTATTAAATAGAAACCAGAAAACAGTACCACTGAGCGAAATTAATTCTGCTTAATTTTATACTTGCAGGTTTTACCTTTGAAGTCCAGAACATTCCAGACTTTCTAGAACACACAGACAATAAGGTAGTGTGTTCAAAGATTAGTTTGAAAACTTAGGAGAAAACATGAGATCAGCTGCTCTCCAAATCTAAATACACCACTAAGAGTAGTGATTTCACTAACGTATTAAATAAAAATTTGTTTAGGAAAAATTCTGTGTAAAAACTATATCCTGCAAAGACTAAATGGACAAACACGACAGCAGTGAGTTTCATGCTCACAAATCACCCATTTCAGGCCCTACACTGTGGCCACACACCACGCAAATAATGTGCCACCATGATGTCCTCCGCGCTGGCTGGTTGTTAGCGCAGTCGTGGGTTCAGGTTCCAACTTCAAAACACGGTGCTGGTTTTGTTGTTTGTATGGTCACACATTACAACCTTACCTCCAAATCTCATGTCCCAAGAATTACGCAACAATGACTTTGGGTCACCAACAAACAAAAAATCCATCACTTGAAAAGCAATCAAAATTCCATGCCCCATTAGTGTAGCTACTGGAAACCTTGGGGCACTTCCTCTTTAGCAGATAATGTGCTAATCACTTTACATGGATTGCTTGATTTAACCTTTACAATAACTATCAAGTAGTATTACTTTGACTCCATTTTACAGGCAAACAAACTGAGGTGTGATGAAGTTAGAGCTGTGCTCATAGACAGCTGGCAAAAGTGGCAAAACTAGGATTTGAAGCCACGCAGGCTCTACCGTCTGTACTCTTAACATTCTCCCATGAGTCACTAATTTAGTTCACATTCACAATGAAAAAATATAGCCTGAGAAAACATTTTGCCTCACAACGTTGAAGCAAAAAGAAAAAAAAATTATAATTATTAAAAAGGAAAAATCTAGGAATGTCTTTTTTATTTTTTTATTTTTATTTATTTTTATTTTTTTGAGACAGAGTCTCGCTCTATCACCCAGGCTGGAGTGCAGTGGTGCAATCTCAGCTCACTGCAACCTCCGCCTCCTGGGTTCAAGCGATTCTCCTGCCTCAACCTCCTGAATAGCTGGGACTATAGGTGTGTGCCACCAAGCCCAGCTAATTTTTTGTATTTTTAGTAGAGATAGAGTTTCTTTTTTTATTATTATTATTTTAAGACAGAGTCTCACTCTGTCACCCTCAGGCTGGAGCACAGTGGCGCGATCTCGGCTCACTGCAAGCTCCACCTCCCAGGTTCACGCCATTCTCCTGCCTCAGCCTCCTGAGTAGCTGGGACTACAGGTGCCCACCACCACAGCCGGCTAATTTTTTGTATTTTTAGTGGAGACAGGGTTTCACTGTGTTAGCCAGGATGGTCTCGATCTCCTGACCTCGTGATCCACCCGCCTTGGCCTCCCAAAGCGCTGGGATTACAGGCGTGAGCCACCACGCCTGGCCGAGATGGGGTTTTGCCATATTAGCCAGGATGGTCTCGATCTCCTGACCTCATGATCTGCCCGCCTTGGCCCCCCAAAGTGCTGGGATTACAGGCGTGATCTACGGCGCCTGGGCACAATGTCTTCTTTTTACCTCAGCCCGTCTTTATCACCTAGCATAGTGCCTGACACATAATAGGTGCACAAAGCATTTACCCAAGAGAGAAAGGACATAATCAGGTCTAAGTAGAACACAGACTGAAGCCATACACTCATGAGAGATTTTACCCTTACTACAGCACGTAACTTATACAAAGTCACTTACATAAGATGACACATGCCTTCTGACAAAGGGAATTTTTTTCTCTCTTCTCGAGGGACAGCGTGCAAAATGCAGTTAAAAGTCTTCAAGCCCTTTTTGGAATTGAGAAGACATTCATGGAGAAGAAAGAAAACAGAGACCTATGTACGATCTTCTTTTAGGTTTCTGGAACCACTATTACCTGTTTTGTTACTTGCAACTCACCTCCTGTTGAAGCAAATGATTTACAGTCTTTTCTGTCACCAGGAATCCTAAGCTAAGTAGGAAGGAATCCAACATCTGAATTTTCCCTGAAAGTATAATTTCAAAGCATCAAATTTATGTTTGGAAGAGTAAGAAAATGACTCCTACACACGGTCAGAGCTTTTCACTAAGGATGTCGTTCTGGCTTTTCTACAATATAACCCACTTTGCAGGCTGTGCCTCTTACAATCCTGTTGCATTGTCTTCTGGTATTAAGGGTTGTGAGCATGTGCACACACGCATACACGCGTTTATTTTCCATGGTTCTTGGTGACTTTTTTGAAACCAAATCTTACTTTAGCTCAGGAAAATTAATTCTCTGATACTTTTATTACAGCAGACTTTTTCAACTTTGGCAATATTGATATTTCAAGCCAGGTAATTCTTCTTCTAAGAAGAACTTGAGAACTGCTGTCAAAATGCAGGGGGGAAAGTGAGCGAGGAAAAGATGCATATGAAGATAAAAACAAAGATGTGACAGATAATCTTACAAAGAGGGAACAGAAAGTAACTGTAATGGACTTTTTGGTGGCCTCCCCACCATCCTTCCCCACTCCTCTGTTACGGAGCAATTGTGCTATTTGGGTGAGACCGATCAGTTCCAGGGGTAAATCTAGACTGGCTTAAACTAGGCAGAGGTGGCCCATTTATCCTTTCATAGTGACTGGTTCATCTGGAGGGCAGGGCATCCAATCAGAGCAAAGCTAGGGCTTTCATTTGCTGGTTGAGGAAAGTGAAACTTTCTCCCCAGATGTGAACCAGGAAGCACAAAGTTCTGGTTGCAACCAACAAGGAAACCACATTGAGAGCAAAGACTAGACTCTGAGAAAGGCAGAACTGAAATTTTGGGCTGCAGAGAAATGGGGCGGAGCCACGCTATTTCCAAACTGCCCACCTCTAGACTTTTCAGTCCCTTGAGCCAGTAAGTTGTCTTTATCATTTAAGCCTATTTGAACTAGATACTCTGTTAAATACACCCAAAGCACTCTACCTCAGCAGTTGTTGACTAGAGATGATTTTGCCCCACAGGGGACACTTAGCAATGTCTGGAGATGTTTTTGGTTGTCATGACGTGGGGATGGATGCTGTTGGCATCTAGAGGGTAGAGGCCAAGGATGCCGCCAAACACCCTCTGATGCGCAGGACAGCACCCACGACAAAGAATTACCCAGTTCAAAATATCTATATTGCCAAAATTGAGAAACTCTGCTGTAATAAAAGTATCAAAGAACAAATTTTCCTGAGCTAAAGTAAGATTTGGATTCAAAATAAGTCACCAAGAACCATGTAAAATAAACACGCTTTCAACCCTTAATATCAGAAGATAATGCAACAGGATTGTAAGGGGCAAAGACTGCAAAGTGAGAGTAATATTGTATAAAAGCCAGAAAGACATCTTCAAACGATGAAAAGCTCTGACCATGTCCCTCTCACAGCCTAATACTCTTACATTTCTTTAACACATTAAACTTGTTGTCATATACAAAGAAGAAGAAATAAGGTACCATCATTTTTTGATGTTAGTAATTAAATTAAGGGTAACTACCGGTAAAATAAAAGTAGGACATAAGCCATTCAAATCACTAGAGAGGGATAAACTGTGATTGAAAGAAAGTCATAATCCATATAGCAGAACACAAACAAAAGAATCATAAAAATAAGTAAGAAGACGTAAGTTTCAGAACAAAAAGGAAGGAGTGATTAATTGTGTCAATTGCAGAAGGAGGTGAGAAGAAATTCAGTGAAAACATCTTTCTACTTCGGAGAGAGGGATTAGACAGTAGCTCTGCAGAGCCTGGGCATAAAGCTCGCACAAGACAACTGTCAAAGGCCACATGTGAAAACCTGTCACTTCAGAGAGGCCAGCCCCGCTAAGGTGACCAGAGTGGGCTCCAAGCACAAACTGTCGTTGCTATAGATGGGACTGTGTCCCCCCCCGAAATTCATATGTTGGAGCCTTAACCCTCAGTGTGGTATTTGAGATGCAGCCTTTGGTAAGGGAAGTTCAGATGAGGTCACGAGTGTGGGATCCTCATGATGGGATGAGTGCCCTTATAAGAGCTCTGGCTCCGTCTAGGCGCGATGGCTCATGCCTGTAATCCCAGCACTTTGGGAGGCCGAGGTGGGTGGATCACCTGGGGTCAGGAGTTCAAAACCAGCCTGGCCAAAATAGTGAAACCCCATCTCTACTAAAAATACAAAAATTAGCCAGGCGTGGTGGCACACGCTTGTAATGCTAGCTACCCAGGAGGCTGAGGCAGGAGAATTGCTTGAACCCGGGAGGCAGAGGTTGCAGTGAGCTGAGAACGTGCCACTGCACTCGTCTGAGCCAACAGTGTGAGACTCTGTCTCAAAAAAAAAAAAAGAAAAGAAAAGAAAAAGAAAGAGCTCTGGCTCTGGCTCTCTGTCCACTTTGTAGCCACACAGCAAGAAGCCAGGTCTCTGCCCACCATGTAGGCATACAGCAAGAAGCCAGAAAGAGGCCATCACCAGAATCCAACCATGCTGGTACCCTAATCTCTTAATCCCAGCCTCCAGAGATAAATGTCTGTTGGCTTAGCCTCCCAATTGATGGCATTTTGTCATGGCAGCCTAATTGGACTAACACAGTCATCTAGAACAGTGTTTCCTCTACCAGGGGCAATGAAAGTCATTATAGCATTATGTGAATCCATAAATGCACCAAGCAATGACCGTAGAGTGAATATATAGCTCACATCTGCACTGTTTTTCAAATATGCAGTATATACATATTGTTGGGATTAATACAAAGCAAGTTTATTTTAAAATGTTACAAAAATCAAAGTAGTTTACCACTGTGCATTTTATCAACCAGTTTTAAAGACAGCAACTGTCATTGTGATGATCATAAAACTTTGACTTGAAAATGTTTGGAACCACTGACTTGAATTATGAGGACCAACCAAGTCAACCAAGTTTTAAAGTCAACCAAGCACAGGGCATGCTTAAGCTTCTGGTACTGAATTTCCTCAACTACCAGATACCATCCATTGCAGAATGTAGTGTCAATTAATGACAGCCTTTCAGAAGAAAACTAAAAACATGTAACATAGAAAAATGACATATCAAGATGGCTCCAATTTCCAAAATGTTTAAATATTTAAGTGCATCTTTGAATCCATGGTATCATAATTCAAATGTCAAATTACTTTTTTTTGAGACAGGATCACGCTGTCACCCAGGCTGGAGTGGAGTGGCACGATCATGACTCACTGCAGCCTCAAACTCTGGGGCTCAAGTGATCCTCCCACCTCACCCTCCCAAGTAGCTGGGACTACAGGTGCAGGCCACCACACCCCAATAATTTTTTATTTCTTGTAGAGATGGGGGTCTCACTATGTTGCCCAGGCTGGTGTCAAACTTCTGGATGCAATCAATTCTCCCTCCTCAGCCTCCGAAAGTGCTGGGAATACAGGCGTGAGCCACCACACCCAGCATAATTACCTTTAATTTGAGCTAAATGGAACAAAATCAATCTATCCTCCAAAGTTTCTAAAATTTTACCTTTTACACTCTTGAAAGACAGAGAAAGGCATCTGAATCAGCTCCAAGTTAAATCAGTAGTAGCTAAATTTTTGCATATTTGAATGACAAAAGTGACTTTCCATTACCTGAACAGAGCTAGCCATATGTCAGGAGCAGCGAAATAAAAATGCTTCTCAGACAAATACAAGACTTTTTTCTACAATGAAATGCATTTCCAAATGACACTATGATGACCATAAGGTGGTCAATAAATCCAAATAAAATGTTTAAACTCACTTTACTTTTACATATCATTTTTCTTTTCTCTGTGCCAGAATATTCTATTAATGAAAAATTAATAGCCAATTAGTAGCCAATAATATACTTACCTTCACTACTACTCCTGGAAATAATCTAACAAAAAGAAAGAAAAAGTAAAGCTCATATTATTTTAAAACAGCATGATAAACCGTAATGTGAATGTATTAGTGTTAACTTTCTCTAACAGGCAGGCATTGACTTTACAGAAGAAAAGCATTTTAGAGAAAGCCTATCTGGGCCTTAATCACTTCCTTAAAATGTGCATATCACTCTCAATCAGGTGACTAATATATTTGTATGATAATAAATCACCTCTCATTTTTAACATCGGTTATATATGTTTCTTACTATATCACATATTAATAATATTCTAATAATAAAACACGAGAGTCTTTTGTTTTGAGACAGAGTTTCACTCTTGTTTCCCAGGCTGAAGTACAATCGCGTGGTCTCGGCTCACTATATAAGCTCCGCCTCCCAGGTTCAAGCGATTCTCCTGCCTCAGCCTCCCAAGTAGCTGAAATTACAGGCGCCCACCACCACGCCCGGCGAATTTCTGTATTTTAGTAGAGATGGGTTTCACCATGTTGGCCAGGCTGGTCTCGAACTCCTGACCTCAGGTGATCCACTCACCTCGGCCTCCCAAAGTGCTGGGATTACAGGTGTGAACCATCACGCCCAGCCATGTGAGTCTTTTAACAAAACTTACATATTATAGAAAACCATGTTTTATAAATAACTTGAAGATTCCTGCCAATTACCAATGGCATCTGCTCAGTGAAGCATCCATCCCATCCTTACCAATGCAGTGTCAAAGAAATCTTCTATAACACAAATCAGCGACGTGTCTGAGGCTAGGCCTTCCGAGGTCAGAATTCCTGTTGTTCTTTCAAACCAGGAAACTAGGTACACAGGAGGACACTAACGTAACTACATAAGACTAAATGCTGCCTATTCAATAAAATTGCACAAGACAATTTTCTCATTACAACAAAATAATCTTAAAGATCTTTTCCCATTCCATTCCATTTCAATGAGGCCTGGCTCTGAGGCCTCCCACCAGAACACTTCAGGATGGTGCCATACTACTACAGAGCTGTCATAAGTAAGCTCTCAGAGATCAGCACAAAATAAGAGTCCCAGCCAGGATCCGTGTCAGAAATTCATATAAAGGGACTAGTGAGGAACATTTAAGAGATAAATGAGGCCAGGCGCAGTGGCTCATGCCTGTAATCCCAGCACTTTGAGAGGCCGAGACAGGTGGATCACTTGAGGCCAGGAGTTCAAGACCAGCCTGGGAAAGATGGTTAAACTTCGTCTCTACAAAAAATATAAAAATTAGCTGGGTGTGGTGGTGCACACCTCTAGTCCCAGCTACTTGGGAGGCTGAGGTATGAGGATCACTTGACCCCAGAAGGTCAACACTTTAGCAAGTGCTGTGATCACACCACTATTCTCCAGCCTGGGGAACAGAGCGAGACCCCACCTCCAAAAAAAAAAAAAAAAGAGATAAGTGAGCCTCCCCAGCACAGGTGGAAAAAAAATCTTGCGATCTGAGAATCTGCTGAAAACAAACTATCAAAGAAGACACAGAATTTGGAAAGTTCTCAGAAGTATTCTTGATTATAGTAAATATGCCTCAGGCCTAGGTATCTTTCTTTCGTTAAAAAGCTTCCAGCTAATTAGAGAATTTTTTCCTATAGGAATACATATCCAATTTCATATTAAACTGCTGGGATTGGAATGATTTAAAATAAACTTCTGCAACCTTTCCTCCCCCACTCCAGAATATACAGTATTTCCTCAATAAAGCAAAAGCCATCTTATTTTTCCCATGATTTTAACTGAGACTGGTCACTCTTAGAAAAAAAAAAATTAGAAAAACTCCGCATGCATAGTTAGAAATTATCAGCTGAACATGACATCAGTCACATGAGTTTCTGACGAACAACTCTTGCAGGAGTCAGGCCTTCAAAACTCTGTATACTTTGGGCCAAGAACCTGAGACAGCCCAGCTGAAGATAAAACCAGTTTTCAACCTTGGCTGTACATTAGGAAAACCTGGGGAGTTAGGAAACATCCCCCACTGCTGAAGCCTGGGACCTATCCCAGACCCAGTAATCAGAATCACTGGTGATACACCCCCACCTGAGTTTTCTATTTTAGGTTTAAGAACGTTTGTGAGAGCTCTCCAGGTGACTGTAATGTACAGCAAGGTTTGAAAGCCATTACTATCTTCCAAGTAAGGTTTCTTTTGTCTCAAATCAGACAAATACTTATACTAGATTGAATCATCCACCTGCTGAAGGAAGCTTTGCTCCAATAGCACAAGAAAAGAAATGTCCCTCTACGCAGCAGAACTCACTGCTAAGGCTGTATTTTCTCCCTCCCTATGTTCATACTCAAAATTCTATGCTTTTTAAATACATTTTTGTCACCACTCCATCTATCCCTCCAAAGCCTATCGCACTCCCAGCACCCTCCCAGCACCCTCCCAAATATACTGGTTGAGGAGATACAGAAGTGGCAGAAAGGCTGCACTATCTGATCAATACTTGGGAACAGGAAGTTCTCACTGAACCCATTTATGTGCCCTGGTCACACATTGTCTAACAGACATCCCAGCTCTCCCCACAGTTGTATCACTACAGAAGCCAGACACAACAGCCATGACTTCTTAGGAATATGGTATCAGAAAAGTTGCTTAATCCTCCTGGATTTTACGGTACAGGACTAAAGATGTTCCTTTCTGTAGGGCTTGTTTTGTTTTGGAGACAGGGTCTCACTCTGTCACGCAGACTGGAGTGCAGTGACACCATCTTGGCTCACCACAACCTCCAGCTTAAGCAATTCTCCTGCCTCAGTTTCCCAAGTAGCTGGGATTACAGGCATGTGCCACCACTGCCCAGCTAATTTTTGTATTTTTAATAGAGACAGGGTTTCACCATGTTGGCAAGGCTGGTCTTGAACCCCTGACCTCAGGTGATCTGCCCACCTCAACCTCCCAAAGTGCTGGGATTACAGGCGTGAGCCGCCGTGCCAGGAATTCTTATTCTATGTAGTAGAAGAACTTCCGAGCACACTTTGTGTTCAGTCTGCAAACACAGTTGTCTTTAGAAGTATAGAGTTGGCCAGGCGCGGGAGCTCACGCCTGTAATCCCAGCACTTTGGGAGGCCGAGGCAGGGGAATCATCTGAGGTTGGGAGTTCGAGATGTGGAATATGATGAGGTTTCTCTTCGAATAATCTGATCAATCTTTTATTCTCTAATTCATAGTACCCCCCCCTTTTGTTCTCCTTTCTCCTTTTTGCCTTTGTTAGATGCCCAGGCACGCCACGGTAGCAAGCGTTATCAGTACCAGCTCACATTCCTTTCCTTATTTGAAAAGAGGACTAACTTTCTAGCTCATTACAGACACCCCTTCCCCTTCCTCTCCACTTTCTCTTACATGCCCACCCTATCTAAAAAGAAAAAAAGGAAATGTTTAGCCAACCGGAATTAGATTGTACGACCCGACCCCGGCCAATGGGGAAAGGGTACAGGGGCAGGACTTGCGTCAGGAATAAAGGCCCTCGTGCCCCTTTGTTCAGGTGTGCTCTCATGGCAACTGGCCAAGGAGGTACCCCTCTGCGCAGAAGAAGTCCTATTCATACCCCAAAAGGTCAGCTTAGGGTTCCAAGGTACACTTAGGACATCTCTGCCTCATTTCCTTTGAGATTTTTATCTCCTTTCCCCTGCTTCCTGTTATCTGCAGAAGTTGGCGTATCAACAGGTCAAGTGGGGTTATATGCAGAACGAAATATATACGGTTTGCATAAACACAGTCCTTAATTCCCCCTGCAAACACTTTAAAGTCCCTGAGAGGAGTCTGGGAAAGCCTGGAGTTTGCTTTCTCTCCTGAGGGGGTAGCTTCATAATTAGACGCATTTTAGAGTAACAAAGGGCAAAGACAGATCTTGGCCCAATCTGGCCTCAATAAACTTCTGGTACTGGAGCTCAAGGGGTAAATCAAAGACATTATTAGCAGCCAGATGATCCTTCCACCCTACTTCTTCCCCACATCTCCTCGTCAATAAACAAACTTGCCTCTGGGCTGCAAAAACCTCACCACTAAAAGAGCGGAACTGCAGCAAGAGATGTTGCAGATTCTGCTTTACTTCCAGATGCCGTTATAAAGGCACTCGCCATGTTATCTCTTGGTTATTATTTTTAAAAGAATAAAAGCTGATAATTTGGGTAACTTTGAATAAGCAAAAATGTTTCTGCTATTTGTTTTTTCAGATTCATCCAAGGTTTAGAAAATGGATAAAGTGAGGTGTTACAAGGGCAAAGAAAAGTTTTTGACGATCATTTTTCTAGGTCTAATCTTGTTAATAAAGTCTATTAAAATAGTTCTAGAGCCTACTCCTACTCATTTTCCCCCAAATTCACTAAAATAATTTAAAATAATAATTACTGCATAGGCTCAACAAGGGCAGTGGTTGTGTCTGACTCGATCCTGTGCACTCCCAAAGTGCCTTCTATAGCAGGTACATCAGGAAATGTATGTCGAATTTAATTTTTGGTTAGACAGAAGCAATAAGAATGGATATCAATTTCTTTTCAAATTGGATTTCAAAGGAACAGAAAATACCAAACTTAACTAGACAACTAAATCCACCTAAGTTCTCTAAGTTACCCAAAGCCATATAAAATTAAAATAGGACACTTATCTTTGGGATCAGTCCCTGCCGAATTAGCAGAGGTTCATCTTCTTTCAGGCCATCTACGAGGAATCGCTGAATACATTTCAGCAACAGTGACACAGACTGAAATTCATTTTTATCTAGTTCCTAGGTATAAACCACACTAAGTTAAAACACTTATAAATAATTATACATTTGTATTTTGGTCACAAAGCAAACCAACTTGCCTTATTTATTGATCTGTCAAGACGGTATAATAGAAGACGATTATATTTTTGAGGAAAGTGGCTCTCTTTCTGTTGAAAGTATTCTTTTATTTTCTGAAATCCTTTATCATGGAATGCATCCGTAATAAGTGATTGAAGCTGGAAAGATGATAGTTTGCAAATTACTTTTTCCCCAAGAACATTTATTTTATAGTAATTTTCTAACTGATCTCATTATCAATAAGAATTCAGTGTGAAATAATATAGGGTAAATATAGAATGGAGATCTCTATCTTGAATAGTAAACAATCATTTCACAAATGATTGATGTTTCCGTTGGTTTAAGACAAGAGTTCCCAAAATGTGGTTCCTAGACCACCAACAGCGCTGGCATCACCTGGGGACTTCTTAGCACTCACACTCAGGGCAGAGCCTTTCACGTGATTCTCGTGCATGCTGAAGTCTGGGAACCACTGACCCAAGGAAAACAACACTTCAGTTTCAGATATCATTAGGTGAAGATCCTCAGCAATGTTGGGAATTCTAAAACACTAAAAATTTCAAGCCTATGATCACTCACTAAGTGACATAAATGATCATAATAGAAGGAAGAAAAATAATACTAATAATTATAGATAATAAGTATGCAAATTGACCATAATGAATGAAATTCATCTTTTCTGCCTGCACATTAGCTAAGACATGCTTCTAAGTACATATACTTGAAGGGCCGGGTGCAGTGGCGCACGCCTGTAATCCCAGCACTTTGGGAGGCCAAGGCAGGCGAATCACCTGAGGTCAGGAGTTCGAGACCAGCCTGACCAACATGGAGCAATCCCATCTCTACCAACAATACAAAATTAGCCAGACGTGGTGGCGCATGCCTGTAATACTTGGAAGGCTGAGGCAGGAGAATCGCTTGAACCTAGGACGGAGGTTGCGGTGAGTCGAGATCGCACCACTGCACTCCAGCCTGTGCAACAAGAGCAAAACTCTGTCTCAAAAAAAAAAAAAAGTATATATACTTGAATAACAGACATTTCCTTAAACATTTAAACTATAAAAGATTTTTTATCTTTAAAAAAATCTTACAGGTTAAATATACAATACTATTTTAATAAGGAAGCAATTTACTATATACAGCCCACAATTCCACTTATTCTTAGTACTGAATTAAAAGGGAAAACAGCATTTAAAATTATTCCATTTAAACAGAATGTTTTCTTTTTTAAGTTAACACATAGTGAGCTTTTTTGTGCCAAGTGTGTTAAGTGTTCTGCAGATGTTATTATTTAATCCTTACCACGGTCCTGAGAGGTTAGGTTCTTTATCTCAGGATACAAGTAGCAAGGATAGGAAAGGTTACAAACTTATGTGAGATTGCTCAGCTGAAATTCACTCCCTTTTACCTGCTTAAAACTCTGCCATTACCAGGCGCAGGGCTCACGCCTGTAATCCCAGCACTTTAGGAGGCCAAGGCAAGAGGATCGCTTAAGCCCAGAAGTTTGACATCAGCCTGGGCAATATATTGAGACCCAGTCTCTACAAAAAATGAAAAACTAGCCAGGTGTGGTGGTTCATGGCTGTAGTCACAGCTACTCAGAAGGCTGAGGCAGGAGGATCACTTGAGCCCAGGAGGTCAAGGCTGCAGTAAGCCATGATTGTACCACTGCACTCCAGCTGGGGTAACAGAGTGAGATCCCGTTAAAACAAAACAAAACTTTGCCATGGCTTCCTCTGCATTAAAAATAAACCCAAAATCCTTTGCTTTAGTCCGCAGAACGTGGCATGATCTGATCTCTGACAGTCTGACCTCCTTGCTAATGAGTCCTAGGATAAGTCAAGCTCTTCCTTGCCTCGGGGCCTTTGAACTGGCTGTTCTAGGCCTGGGCTACTTCACCCCACCACTTTCCACATGGCTGGTTCCACTCAGATCACAGCTTAAGCATCACTTTTTCAGGTAGATCTTCCAGGACCACCTTATCTTACGTAGACCAGGTGCCTCCTCAACATTCCCAATTATTCCCCATCTCATTACCCTGTTCTTTTTCTTCCTGCTTCTTTGGCTCTCTGCCAGTCTATAAGCTCCATAAAGGCAGACGTTGTTTCTAGTTTGTTCAGTATCATCTATCTGCATTTAGGGCACAAGATATCTGCACAGGGCACAAGATAGTTTAGACTAGGATATTGGTAAGATAGCTAATGGTAAATTGACTAGATATAGTAATAAATTGGACATGAGAGATTAGGGAAGGAGAAGTAAAGATTTCTCTGCTTCTGATTTGAGCAACTGGAGGAACAAGTTTGCTAATGACCCAGGGAACACAGAACTAGAAAGAATACATACACTCATATACACATACACACACACACACACACACACACACACACACACACACACACACACACACAGAGAGAGATTATAAAAGAAACTTGATCTTTACCCAGAAAGCATCATCCTGGGCCTTCCCAGTCCTGTCTTCCTTAATAGGCTGCAAAGCATCTTTGTTTTTCTGTGTGGAATAAAAACATGTTTTTAAACAATTTTTATTTCAAAGAAATGCATTTCAAGTTTTAAACACAAAGCAAAAAAAAAAAAAAAAAAAATTAAAGGTTTGTATTGTTTTCCTGAACAGAAATTTTTGTTTGCTCATATTATAGGTCTAAGTAAAATAGTACTTAGAAAAAAGAGAAAAACTTTATCCAACCTTCTTTAGCATGGTCTAAGACAAATACAGTACAAACTATCAGAAGAAGCAAAGCAAACATCATTTGAATAAATAATCACACAAAATAAACAAACTCTATAATGATGATTATAAAGTAGAAGTAAAAAGGCTTTGAACTAATAAACCATTTTCAGAATGAGAGCTTGTAAAATAAAGTTAAATAAAAGTGTCTTTAAGGCATCATAGTACCTGACTTCAAAATATACTACAAAGTTATAGGAACAAAACAGCATGGTACTGGCATAAAAACAGACACATATGTAGACCAATGGAACAGAATAGATAAACCCAAAATAAATCTACTTTTTTATAGCCAACTGATTTTTGACAAAGGTGTCAAGAACATTCATGGGGAAAAGACAGTCTCTTCAATAACTGGTGCTGGGAAAACTGGATATTTATATGTGGAAGAATGAAACCAGATCCCATGTCTCACCATATACAAAAATCAACTCAAAATAAACTAAAAGCTTACACTTAAGATCCCAAACTACTAGAATAAAATATAGGGGAAACACTTTAGGACATTGGTCTGGGCAAAGATTTTATGGAGAAAACCTCAAAATCACAGGCAATGAAAGCAAAAATAGACAAATGAAATTATACAGACCAAAAAGCTTCTTACAGAAAGGGAAATAATAGAGTGAAGAGACAACCAGCAGAATGGGAGAATATATTTGCAAACTATGCATCCAACAAGCCATTAATATCTAGAATATACAGGGAACTCAAACACCTCAACAGCAAAATAACCAATCCAATTAAAAATGGGTAAATAAGCTAAATAGACATCTCTCCAAAGAAGACATACAAATGACCAACAGGTATATGAAAAAATACTCAACATCACTAATCATTGGAAAATGCAAATCAAAACCAAAATGAGATATTATCTTACCCCAGTTAGAATGGCCATTATCAAGACAAAAAACAACAAATGCTGGCAAGGATATGGAAAAAGAGGAACTCTTGTACACTGTTGGTAGGAATGTAAATTAGTATAGACAATATGGAAAACAGTATGGAGGTTCCTCAAAAAACTATCATAAATCCAGCAATTCCACTCCTGGAGATATATCCAAAAGAAAAGAAATCAGTATGTCAAAGGCATATCTGCACTCCCATGTTTACTGCAGCGCTATTCATAATAGCCAAGATATGGAATCAACTTAAGTGTCCATCAGTGGATGAATGGATAAAGAAAATGTGGTATATTCACACAGTGGAATACTTTTCAGCCAGAAAAAAGAACAAAATCCTGTCATTCATGGTAACATGCATGAGCCTGAAGGACATTATGCTAAATGAAATAAGCGGGGCACAGACAGACACACTGCATGTTCTTGATCACATGTAGAGGCTAAAAAAGCTGATCTCGGCCGGGTGCGGTGGCTCATGCCTGTAATCCCAGCACTTTGGGTGGCCGAGGTGGGTGGATCACCTGAGGTCAGGAGTTGGAGACCAGCCTGGCCAACATGACAAAACCCTGTCTCTACTAAAAATAGAAAATTATCCGGGCAGGGTGGCGCATGCCTGTAATCCCAGCTACGGGGGAGGCTGAAGCAAGAGAATCGCTTGAACCCGGGACGCGGAGGTTGCAATGAGCTAAGGTTGCACTATTGCACTCCAGCTGGGGAAGCAAGAGTGAAACTCCATCTCAAAAAAAAAAAAAAAAAAAAAGGCTGATCTCATAGAAGTAGAGAGAATAGTGGTCACTAGAAAAGAGGAAGTGAGATAGGCAGAGGTTAGTTAATGAACACAAAATTACAGCTAGCTGGAAGGAGTAAGTTCTAGAGTAAGATAGTACTGCAAGGTGACTATAATGTACAACTTATTGTATATTTTCAAATAGCTATACGAGTAGATTTTGAACATTCCCAACACAAAGAAATAAATATTTGAGGTGATGGATATGCATAATTACCCTGATTTGATCATTACACACTGTATACACATATGGAAATATCACACTACACCCAATTAACATGTGCAATTACTATGTGTCAATTAATATATGTGTCAATTAAAAATAAATGATAAAGGCAAAGAAAAAGAACCATTGTGTTAGTGGATAATTGAGTAGAGGCAAAAGTGAGATAGGAGGAACAGCTAAAGCTACAATTAAAATTGGGTGTTAGGCCAGGCGCAGTGGCTCACGCCTGTAATCCCAGCACTTTGGGAGGCCAAGGCGGGCATATCATGAGGTCAGGAGTTCGAGACCAGCCTGTCCAATATGGTGAAACCCGTCTCTACTAAAAAATACAAAAATTAGCTGGGCGCAGTGGCACGTGACTGTAGACCCAGCTACTCGTGAGGCTGAGGAAGGAGAATCACTCGAACCCAGGAGGTGGAGGTTGCAGTGAGCCGAGATCCAGCCACTGCGCTCCAGCCTGGGTGACAGAGTGAGACTCCGTATCAAAAAAAAAAGGGTGTTAATTCATAGCATAAACTGACATCAAATAAACACTATGCTACGTATCTATAATTTCTAAGTTTTGTCAACAAATTCTGAATTAGTGGGAAATACTTCCCATCCCAAAGAAAATATTCCCGGGAGCCTTTATGTTAAGCTTCTTTACCTCTTTTCTCTATAGACACGGCCCTATCTCTCCTTCAGTTCAATTCGTATGCAGAGATGCTCTGCTTATTTTTATTTCTACCTCCTTTCAACCTTCTCTGGCCTTGGTGGTCAGTACTTTGCAAATTCCAAAGAAATGCTTCCTGTTTCTGGAATTTCTGGAGCCACTCTAGTACACAGAAAGGTATCCCCCTTCTGTGAAGATCATGTGGCAGCTTTTGTGGGTAGGAACCTGACAGGAAAATCAGAAAGTGGGATGGTTTAGGCAGAAAAGATCGTTAGATTCTCTGAGATTCAGTCTCCTCATTTAAAAAACATGATGATAGCCGGGCGCTGTGGCTCACGCCTGTAATCCCAGCACTTTGGGAGGCCGAAGCGGGCAGATCATGAGGTCAAGAGACAGAGACCATCCTGGCCAACATGGTGAAACCCCGTCTCTACTAGAAATACAAAAATTACCCTGGCGTGGTGGCGCGCGCCTGTAGTCTCAGCTACTCGGGAGGCTGAGGTAGGAGAATCGCTTGAACCCGGGAGGCAGAGGTTGCAGTGAGCCAAGATCACGCCACTGCACTCCAGCCTGGGCGACAGAATGAGACTCCGTCTCAAAAAAAAAAAAAAAAAAAAAAAAAAAAAAAAAAAAAAAAAAAAAAAAGATGGTAACACCTATATGGAAGGATTGGAGTGAGGACTGACTGACAGAATGTCTGTAATGTTCTTAGCATAGTGCCTGGGCACATAAAAATGGCTCAGTGAATGGCAGCTTTCAATGTAACAGGGATGGAGAGGGTGAGGAGGTTATGCTTAAGTGCTCTGAATTTAAGCGTAGCTTGATGTTAGAAAGGTTTCTGTCCCAAATCTGTTTCCCCATGGCTGGGAAGATGGCGCCAGATGACAGATGGATTTTATGGAGAACAAGAGTGAGTTCCTGGATCTAGGCAAGCAGTTACCCCTGGCTATCAGAATCACCTGGCGTCCTCACTAACAAACTAACAAACTACCGGCCCACCGTAGACCAATTACATCAGAATTTCTACCACCAGGAACCCAGGCAGAAGAATGTTAGAAACACGCCCCAGGTGGTTTTTGTTTGTTGTTTTTGGCGTCCCTGGGTGGGCTCAAACTTCATGTGTTTTTTTTTATTATTTATTGATAAGTAATAATTGTAGCTTTATCTTAGGGGCTGTCCTTTGTCGTTCGGTTAAATGAAGTCCCAGCACTTGGGGTTGCTTAACACTTCTGCACTTTCTACGCAGCAAGGTGGAAAGAGGGCTGGAAAACCGGCTAGGAAAATACGCAAAGCAACTAGAAAAGAACTATCTCATTGCTTTCCGAACACGAATTCTCCGGTTCCCCTTTCCCTGAGCGCTATTTAGCTAGGGATCCGAGGTTTCTATTCTGCCTGGTCTCCCCGCAGGCTGCCAATACACTCCGAGCAAACCCAAGGAGGTGGCGGGGGACTATGCCCAGCACCCGGTCTCTGAGCGAACACCTCAAGGCGGCAGAACCTGAGCCCCAGGGACCCCGCGCCCTCGCGCGCCCTAGCACTGTGGACAGAAGGTCCGGGCCCTTCGGGGGTCACTCACCGCTTGCATAACGAGGCTTCTTCGTTCCTGAAGCGACGCGCCGCTCAGCTTTGTTGCGCTCGGTCGGCCCTCTCCTGCTTCCCCGCCCAAGAGCCCCGCCCGCTGGGGGCGCTGCCGAAAGAGCCCTGGTGGCGGACCGCTCTTCGAGTCGAGTCTTCTTCCGCAACTGTAATTGACGAATCCGCCCCCTGAAGTTTACTAGAGCTCTGTGTTTTGAGACTCAAGAAGCGCGTGCAAGTAACTAGCGCACACAGGCCAAACCACCTGGGCGCACGCACTCACCCTTTAAGAGAAAGCCAGCACTCAAAGGATGTGAACTACGTCATTTAAACGTTCCTTATTTGCGAAATTCCAAACAGATAGGCGTTCGCTTTGTGGTAGCTGTTCCAAGTTTTTGCCCCGCCTTAAAAAGCCAGAGGGGCGGCCAGGCGCGGTGGCTCACGCCTGTAATCCCAGCACTTTGGGTGGCCGAGGCTGGTGGATCACTTGAGGTCAGGAGTTCAAGACCAGTCTGGTCAACATGGTGAAACCTTGTCTCTACTAAAAATACAAAAAATTAGCCGGGCGCGGTGCACGTGCCTGTAATCCTAGCTGTTGGGGAGGCTGAGGCAGGAGAATCACTTGAACCCGGGAGGCGGAGGTTGCAGTGAGCGGAGATCTCGCCACTGCACTCCAGCCTGGGGGACAGAGTGAGACTCCGTCTCAAAAAAAAAACAGCCAGAGGAGCAGTTTTTGGTCCATTGATGTGTGCAGACAGAAGCCGAACCCTTTCCTATGGTAACCAGACTTGTACCCGATATTATTAATACATTCCTGATTTCACACACACACAAAGTGTGTTTGGTGGTTGTTTTTTAAGTACCGTGGTGGGGAGGAAGGGGAATTTTTTTTTTTAATCAAAGCAAATAGTTTTGTTTTTGTTTTTGTTTTTTTGTTTCTTTGTTTGCCTATTTCCTTTAACCTGACAAGTATGCGTACCAATGGCTAGGCTGATTCGGATAGGTGGCCAGTTGTGTGAACACGGTGGCAAAATTAAATTGGACTAGAGTTTTCCACAAAAAACAAAAAAAAGACCCCTCCAATCCAAACATCCTTTGTGTAAAAATCAACTTGTATTATAACTAGACCTGTGAGTATTTCAAGTCATAATATGTACGGAAGATATTTGTCTACACCAAAGCAAAACATAACAAAACCAGAACCCCTGTTAGCCCAGGACTTGCACACATTTCTAGTCCGTTCAAAACAATGTTTATGTCAAAGCCTGTCATATCAATTTCCTGGAAAGTATAATGTAAACATTCTTACATTAATTTACCTATTTTAATCTAAACCAAGGAAATTCAAACGCAAGTTTTTTTCCTTTTCAATGAATGGACTTTTGTAATATTAAACTAGTAATCAAGACAGGAACAGCTGTGAGTATAAGCTATTGTGAGTCAATACAAATATAATACCAGGGCAAGAAAGAAACAATGAATAATAAGAAGCAATAAACAAAATACTACAGTTTAAATGAATTTTAAGAGAATATTTAAAAATTAGAGTTTTCATAATATTAGATAGAAAACTTAATCATCTATTATTTTCAGGCTTTGGGGGAAAACATGTCCTTCCAAAGTCTATGGTGCAATGCATTCAAATCTTTAAGAGAAATTAAAAATAACAGAATAGGCAAAATACCTTTTATCTGGTTTTTTTTTTACTTTGATTAGCTTCTTTTACTAACATGTTTTGTCTTAATATAATTTATGGCAACTTGAAATGCATACTCTAATTCTTCTCAAACTAAATATAGTAGAGGCTCTATGACATTTCTTTGGATACCAGAATCCCTTTAGAAATTAATTGATTTGCCTTTTACATAAAAAAGTTTTATTTATTTATGTTTTTGACGGGTCAGGTCTCTCTAGGAACATTCCAAAAGCACAGAGACAAGAACTATTCTAGCACTGCAATAAGACCAAAAATTAATTTCTATGCATTTTCAGAGGTAACTTTAAATCACCATTTTAAAGTTATTTTTAGAACATTTGAAAGGATAAGTTATCTTAGACTACAACATTTAATGAAATACTATAATTAAAATGGATAATCAATAAATTTTCATTCAATTTTGGAAGACAAAACAACACGAAAAGCAACTGAATCAACAGGAGTTTCGGGGACCTTTGGCAGACAGTTAATAAGATGAAAAATCTGTGAATGAAACTCGTGGGTGAAGAGTAGACAGATCTCTTCGTTCCCAGCTAGACCTCAGTGGCGACCATTTGAGAGTGATTTTAATCAGAAACCTTGACTGACAGGACCTTTTAGGAGGGGAGAACTTCGGGAGAAAGGAGGCTGGGAATGAACAAATCACTTTCTTCTGCTAGGACCCTTCGGCTTTGACTGGGAGGAGGACCCCAGCTAGAAGATAAAGGAGGAAAAAATCGCGAGGAACTGCTCGAAGTTGGCCTTTCTTCCCAACAGAGTTCGCTGGTCCGCTGCCACTGGCAGGCTTCTCTGACCGACTGGGATACTTTTTCTTTCTTCTTTCCTTTTCTTTTTTTTTTCTTTTTCTTTTCTTTCTCCTTCCTTGCTTCCTTCCTCTCTCTCTCTCTCTTTCTTTCTGTCTTTCTTTCCTTCCTTTTTTTTTTTTTTTTTTTTGAGACAGGGTCTCGTTCTGTCGCCCAGGCTCGGCGCTATCTCAGGTTACTGCAACCACTGCCTCCTGGATTCAAGCGATCCTCCCGCCTCAGCCTCCCAAGTAGCTGGGACTACAGGCACACGCCACCATGCCCGGCTTTTTTTTTTTTTTTTTTTTTCGAAGAGACAGGGTTTCGCCATGTTGCCCAGTCTGGTCTTGCACTCCTGGGCTCAAGCGATCCTCCCGTCTCGGCCTCCCAAAGTGCTGGGATTACAGGCATGAGCCACTGCGCCCAATCGCGGGATGGACTTTTCTAAGCAAGCCTCACTGTGCCTTTGGCGCGGGAAGTAAAAGGACAGGGAGCGTGGACCACCCTTAGCTTCCTGATGTGGTTTCGCTCTTCCTTTATCCGCCTTTTGCCAACCGAAGGCACTAATCCTGCAAGAGGCGTTGGCATGGGCGCCCTCCTGGCCGAGTCCCGGGCAGCACCCGTCCGTGCGCTCAGCACGGGCTTTGCGGTGCCAAGGCCTAGGGTGCGTCGCTTCCCGGGTCTGGAGGGTCATGGATTCGGTTCATCCTCCTCTATCAAGGGATCTGCCGTGAGGAGTTGGCTCCTCTTCTCTGGCTGGGGCTGGGAATGGAAGCGTGCAGCTGCAAAACAAGGACGCGGGCAATAAATTCCAGAAGCCCTTTCCCCTGGCCGCCAAGAATCCGGCCTTGGGGTAGTCAAAGAGTGACTTTAGTCACTTCAATCGGTTTTGTTTTGTTTTGTTTGTTTTTTGTTTTTTGTTTTTTTTATATATATATATACTGAGGGTCTCCATGTGCCGGAGTAGCCCTGGGCGAGTCGGCTGCTCAGATGATGAAGGTTTCGTCCCAGCCCCGGAGAACCCACATTGTCCTGCGCACCTCCGCACCACCGCGATTCTCTAGTCCTCCAAAGCCTCCCAAGACTGTAATGGAGTAAATTCAATTTCGTCGTGATATTTCCAAGACTATATCAGTGAAGTTTTTTTTTAAGAGTTGTGGGCCGGGCGCGGTGGCTCACGCCTTTAATCCCAGCACTTTGAGAGGCCGAGACAGGAGGATCACGAAGTCAAAAAATCGAGACCATCCTGGCCAACTTGGTAAAACCCTGTCTCTACTAACAATACAAAATTAGCTGGTCGCGATGGCGCGCCTGTAGTTCCAGCTACTCGGGAGGCTGAGGCAGGAGAATCGTTTGAACCTGGGAGGCGGAGGTTGCAGTGAGCCGAGATTGCGCCACTGCACTCCAGCCGGGAAGACAGAGTGAGACTCCGTCTCAAAAAAAAAAAAAAAAAAAAAGATTTGTGTTCGGGTGGGTGGCAACTGAGAGCTCGCCGAACCACAACCTCTTATTTAACAGATAAACAGATAAGGAAGCTGAGACCCAGAGGGAGCCAAAGCAGTGGAGAAAGCGAGTTCTTTGGGACTTTTCCCCTCTCCCCTTTCCCTCCTTCCCCAGGCTCCCACCTACCCCAGGCTCCCACCTACCCCGGGCTCATTTCCGCCCCCCACCTCCTCCAGGTTCACTTTGTAGGACTCCGTTCCTGCAGGGCCAGGTCCCTCCGAAGTCCCCGGGAGCGTGAAGGCGCCTGGGCTCGCGAGCATACGCGGAGGCTTGGCGCACCCTGGCACGTCCCAAACAGCAGAGCCAAGACTGCGAGACACTCACAATAGTTAGGGGAAGAGCCGGCAGTGGAGGCCCAAAATGGGCTGACCCCTAACTAGGAGGCGTGGGCGCGGTTATTCAGGCTAGGGCGCACGCGGACGGCAGAGGGGCCCACGCACGGTTCCCATGCTCTCCTGGAATTGAGTGTTGGCTCTCAGGGGACTTTGCTGGAAAGCCTCCATCTAAGCCCCTTTCCGAAATCAGGGAAGCTGGACGCGTTTAGAAAAAAGAAAAAAAATAGGCCGGTCGCGGTTGCTCACGCCTGTAATCCCAGCACTTTGGGAGGCCCAGGCGGGCAGATCGTCAGGAGTTCAAGACCAGCTTGGTCAGGGTTTCGCATGGCTAAAACCTGTCTCTACTAAAAATACAAAAATTAGCCAGGGTGGTGGCACGGACCTGTATTCCCAGCTACTCGGGAGGTTGAGGCAGGAGAATCGCTTGAACCTGGGAGGCAGAGGTTGCAGTTAGCTGAGATGGCGCCACTGCACTCTAGCCTGGGCAACAGAGTGAGACAAAAAAGAAGAAAAGAAAAGAAGAAAATAATAAGGTTTTAAACTTAAAGGATACATTCCTACTTACCCTCTCCACCCCCACCCTCTGGCTGCAGTTTCCATTTGCTTCCAGGGCTGAGTTTAACCTCCACCTCCGTTCCTGGGACTGTGGTGGAGGGGGCGACCGGCCCCTGGAGCGTGGGCGCTAGCGAGGTAGGCGAGACAGGGCGGAGCCCCCCGGAGGTATATCTTTATAAAGGAGGGGGCAGCTGCCAGAGGTCGATGCTGCCGTTCGGGTGGAGAACGTTCAGCACCGCGGCCAAGGACAAGGCCCCGCCCGGGTCCATAACCATTGTCCCCAGCTTCCAGATATCTAAACAGCCTCTCTCTCTTTCTCTCTCTCTGCACCTCCCCTTCACACACCCCACTTTCTTCTTTAAAGAGAAGAAAAAAAACCCACCTGGCGCACCTGTCCTTTTTTCTTCTATTTTTCAGAACCCTGGGCGGAAAGCGCGAGCGAGTTGGGCAGATGCCGGCGGCCGCGGTGCAGGAAGCGGTCGGCGTGTGCTCCTACGGGATGCAGCTCAGCTGGGACATCAACGATCCGCAGATGCCTCAGGTAAGTGAACCGGGTGTGTGCGGGCACGCGGGGCGCTGTCCATCCGAAGGAGGGAGAATGGCATTCGAGTTCTTGAAGAGTCTGCGGACGGACCATACACACACACACACACACACACACACACACACACACACACACACACACACACATACCCGCAAAATTTCTGGGTTTCTGAGGCCCTCTCAAGTGTAGAAAGAAAACTGGACTCTACAAAAGGCTGAGTTGGGTTTAGAAATGTGTCTTCTTGGCCGGGCGCTGTGGTTCATACCTGTAATCCCAGCACTTTGGGAGGCTGAGGCGGGTGGATCATCTGAGGTCGGGAGTTCAAGACCAGCCTGACCAACATGGAGAAACCCCGTCTCTACCAAAAATACAAAATCAGCCCAGCGTGGTGGCGCATGCCTAAAGTCGCAGCTACTCGGGAGGCTGAGGCAGGAGAATCGCTTGAACCCGAGAGGCAGAGGTTGCGGTGAGCCAAGATCACGCCATTGAACTCCAGCCTGGGCAACAAGAGCAAAACTCCATCTCAAAAAAAGAAGAAGAAGAAGAAGAAGAAATGTGTCTTCTCCCAGCAATTTCCTTGTGCTTGCCTGAAATCACAAGCAAAGCAGCAGGAAATGTTGGTCAGGCTCCACATTCCCAGTCTTGGGGAGAGCGGGACGCCTGTCCTTTCACTTCCCTTTAACCAAGGTAGAAATTAGGTGCCTCTCTCCTTATTCATTTACTTTAAATCCATGAGGAAGCTAAGGAGAAAATCTAAGCAGATGTAAATACCACTGCTTCTCATGCAGCAAAACTGAGGTACAACTGTAAAGTGAATCTAATGACCTAAATTTAAAACAAGTAGCCCGACTTGAGCAATTTGCTCAGACCTCCCTAACTGCTCAGAGGAAGGAGGCCCCATAGTCATGCCAACAAGGCCACCTGTACCCAAAACTTACTTCTTCTCTAATGACAAGCAAATCATCATTCTTTTAGGGTGAATTTGTTGTATTTTGCTTTATTTCAATAAAGCAAAAATGGTTTGGAGCCAAGTCCAAAGAATGACTGGGGTGGATGAAGTGGTGAATGAAGTGGGTGGTTTGAAGCCAGTTCCAGAGAATGACCAATTATCATTAGTCACACTGGTTAGGGCCAAAATTGAGTGATGTTGAAGTCCTGGCTGTAGGGGGTGGGGGGTGTAGAATGAGAGTTGCTTCCCTGCCATTTGCAGATGTGGGCTTCCAGCAATGTTGTGGCACAGGGATAAAAGAGATGGGTCATTTTGTCCGCAACTAAAATGTGTCTGATAGGTGTTCAGATGAATAACAATTCATTGCAACATTGTGTCGCCTCTCATAGAGGTCAGCACTTTTTTGGATCCATATATTTGTAGTAGGTTAGGTGTGTTTTACTCCTTTGTTTTTGTTTGTTTGTTGGGGTTTTTTGTTGTTGTTTGTTTGTTTTTTGAGGCGGGGTTTAGCTCTTGTTGCCTAGGCTGGGGTGCAATCACACGATCTCAGCTCACTGCAACCTCCATCCCCCAGGCTCCAGCGATTCTCTTGCCTCAGCTTCCCGAGTAGCTGGGACTACAAGCATGCGCCACCACGCCCAGCTAATTTTGTATTTTTAGTAGAGATTGGGTTTCTCCATGTTGGTCAGGCTGGTCTCGAACTCCTGACCTCAGCTGATCCACCCGCCTTAGCCTCGCAAAGTGCTGGGATTACAGGCGTGAGCCACCGTGCCTGGCCCACTCCTTTGTTTTAAAGTCTGCCTACTTTAGAGTCACATGGTACCATTTTCATGAAAGTGGACCACAGTACAGCAAGTGCATCTCATTCTGTTTCTGTCCATGTACATCTTCACAGGAAACAATCATATCTTGCATTTTAGAAAAGTCACATCCAAGTAATGTAATTATGGTTCATCTCTCAAGCATTTGCTAGACTTCCCATGTCAATATGAACTTTTTTTTAGGAGACTGGTTGTTAAGCAGGAAGCATGTGTGTAATATCTCAAACGGGCCAGGCACACTGGGACATGGAGAAGTGAAGAAACTTAGCATCGCCCTGCTCTGGGTAACCGAGTGAGCAAGTTAAACTACCTGTCTGACCTTGAGAGAGTCCTTGAATTTGCCTTAGTCTCAGGCTACTTACTCACTTGTCATCAAGTGGTAGAGTGAGATAACCATCTCAAACTCTCCTCCAGGTCTACGATCAGGTTCAGTGTCTATGTGTGTGTATGTACACACACACACAACATGCCAACACTTGAGAGCAAGTGAAACCCAATCCTTGACATCCTCTATTCTTGTACTGATTTTAAAAATACAATCTCTGTGGCTTCATTGCCAGGGTCACTACCTCAGTAGCTCGTGTGAGGCATGGGGGCCTAGTCTACATCCTTAAGGGAGAGCTAAAGAAATGCTGTTTTCTGGAAAATTGTCAATTTGTTACTAAGATCCTTAAGTTAAAATATTCACTTTTAAAACAAAGATATTAGCATTTAATATAAGCTTGGAGTTGATAGCACATCATTATATATTTCATTTGTGACTTACCTTACATTGATGTATCATGTCAATTGTAATATTTCAGAGAAAAGATAAATAATACCTATGGTAGTAATAATGATTTCAACAATATCTTTGTAATTTTGGAAACAAAATCACCCATTAACCTTATTACTGTTAGAATGTGCAGTATTAATGATGTATACAAGTCTGAATTTTCCAACTGTGAATACTTCAGCTTTGCAAATGTTTGATCTAATTTTCCTGAGTGGCAAGAGTGGGGAGGAGATGCAAATGGCTTACTGCTATTATACACTCTTCTGAGCCTTTATTACACCAGCAAAGCTACTGGGTCTGGCTGCTACCCATCTTCTGTTTATATTCCAGCTATGCCACTGTGAAAGGTTATCTATTGAACCTCCACTTCCTTATTTAGTAAACAAGAGTAAAGATGTCCATCTTGCAAAGATGTTGTGAGAATTATATATATTGCATAATATGGCTTTGCAGGTCATACTGTTTCTGTTCCAAATATTCAATTCTGCACTGTAGTGTGAAAGCAGCCCTAAACATTACATAAAAGAAAGTGCTCAGTGGCCGGGCATGGTGGCTTATGCCTGTAATCCCAGCACTTTGGGAGGCCAAGGTGGGTGGATCATGAGGTCAGGAAGATCAAGACCATCCTGGCCAACATGGTGAAACCCCATCTCTACTAAAAATACAAACAATAGCCAGGCGTGGTGGCATGCACCTATAGTCCCAGGTAGTCAGGAGGCTGAGGCAGGAGAATCACTTGAACCTGGGAGGCGGAGGTTGCAGTGAGCTGAGATCATGCTACTACACTCCAGCCTGGGTGACAGAGTGAGATTCCATCTCAAAAAAAAGAAAAAAGGAAGTGCTCAGTAAAGGGTGATTTTTCAATGAAACTTATATGCAAAAGTGACATTTATTGCAGTGTAAATAATGCATTAAATTGACAAAGACTACCAAATATGAATACTAAGGCAATGCTCAGTATTTTAGATACAACTTATTATTGCAGCCATGTGGCTCTTTGTTGAGGAGAATGACAGTCCCATATTGCTCTGGGGAGCAGTCCCGTGCCAGACAAGCTCACCCACACCCCAAAGCTCATGGCTTAAGTCCCTCATTGCAGTACCCTTTTAAACTTGGAGAGCCAAGTTGAGAGTAGGGAGGGAAGCTGTTCTTTCCTCTCTGACATTACTCTGGGTGCCACTGCTAATGTGACTGACAGGTTTGGCATACAGAGCCAAGTGCTTTTGAAGAAAATGCACTGACTTAAAGATATTTACCAGTTAAATTGCATTTCAGTGATAGAACATTCCAATCACTTTTTCCCCTGGTACTTTGATACCTAACTTAAAAATGTTTTCAACATTTAAACACACCAAGAAGTGATATAACATAGTGGTAAGAAGTACAGGCTCTGGAATGGGACTGCCAGGGTGCAAATCCTGGATCCAGATCTTGCTAGCTGTGTGATGTGACCTTGGGCGAGTCGATTAACCTCTCTGGCCTCCATGTCCTCATCGGCAAATTGGAAATAATTGTTTGCCTATAATTTGAAGTCTAGATGAACTAATACATGTATAGCATTTAACAGATAAGCACTATATAAACATTAATTATTACCTGGTTGTCAGGAAGTCTTACATAGAAAGAGTGGCATTTTGGAATTTGACGTTACTGGATTTAAAAAGAACTGGTTTGTATCCTAATGTGCTCAGAGAAATTTTAGAGCATGATGTGTGCAGTTTGGACTGGATAGACTGACCACCCTTCCTTCTGCACTCTTCCAGGAGCTGGCCCTCTTTGACCAATTCCGAGAGTGGCCTGACGGCTATGTGCGCTTCATCTACAGCAGCGATGAGAAGAAGGCACAGCGTCACCTGAGCGGCTGGGCCATGCGCAACACCAACAACCACAATGGCCACATCCTCAAGAAGTCGTGCCTGGGTGTGGTGGTGTGTACACAGGCCTGCACCCTGCCCGACGGTTCCCGCCTGCAGCTGAGGCCGGCCATCTGCGACAAGGCACGGCTGAAACAGCAGAGTGAGGACATGGGGCCAGGGAGAGGGTGACCTTGGAGTCATGAGTTTTTTGTTGTTGTTGTTTTTGTTTGTTTGTTTGAGATGGAGCCTCACTCTGTCACTCAGGCTGGACTGCAATGGTGCAATCTCAGCTCACTGCAACCTCCGCCTCCCGGGTTCAAGCGATCCTCCTGCCTCAGCCTCCCAAGTAGCTGGGATTACAGGCATGCGCCACCACGCCCGGCTAATTTTGCATTTTTAGTAGAGACAGGGTTTCTCCATGTTGGTCAGGCTGGTCTTGAACTCCCGACATCAGGTGATCTGCCTGTCTCGGCCTCCCAAAGTGCTGGGATTAGAGGCGTGAGCCACCACACCCGGCTAATTTTGTATTTTTAGTAGAGACAAGGTTTCTCCATGTTGGTCAGGCTGGTCTTGAACTCCTGACCTCAAGTGATCCACCCGCCTCGGCCTCCCAAAGTGCTGGGATTACAGGCGTGAGCCACCGCGCCCGAGCATGAGTTCTTTGTTCCCAGCTAATTTTCCCCTTCTTCCTTCAGAAGGGTCTGGGGTCAGGGTTAATATTTCTCCCTTCTGGGCTTTGCAGAGAAGGCATGCCCTAACTGTCATTCTGCTTTGGAGTTGATTCCTTGTCGAGGGCACAGCGGATACCCCGTAACCAACTTTTGGCGGCTTGATGGCAACGCGATCTTTTTTCAGGTAGGTCAGGTGAGAACACAATTTGTGATGGATACTTTTCATCAGACCACAAAGGCCAAACCACCTGTCGTGTGCCTTGGGAACCCTGGGCCAAACAAAATACAGCCCCAGTGGCCAGAAATAGGTGCTGGAGCTCCCCAGGGACCTAGCGGGAGCCTAGAAATTCACTCACTACTTTGTGCTCTTTAAGGTACACAGATGGTAAACCAAGTTATAGTTCTTTTAATAGAGTGAAGGGATTGCAGGTGATCTTTTCAGATGTCAATTCTTGAGCCTGTTTTATTTGTTCAAGAATTTTTTTTTCTGTCATTTTGAAAGAAACAAAACTAAACTCTTGAGATGTTGGGAAAGGCATGATCAATTTTTGGGCAACATTGTCAGCTTCCTTTAGAGGCACAAATGTATGATTCATTTTCTCGTTATCGCAGGCCAAGGGAGTTCATGATCATCCAAGACCAGAGAGCAAATCAGAGACAGAAGCTAGAAGAAGCGCCATCAAGAGACAAATGGCCTCTTTCTACCAACCCCAGAAAAAGAGAATTCGAGAATCCGAGGTAACAGGGAGCTGATAGTGCACAGTGGTCTCAGCTCATTTTCATCCCAAGATACGCTGATCGTTATGCAAAATATGAAGGTCATACGTTAATTACAAGGGTTTGATTTCATCTGAAAATTATACGTCTGTAACAAAATATCATTAAATCAACATTTGGACAGGGTTTCTAATCCCTTCTCCTTAAAACAAAAAGCAACAATCTCTACAGGCAATGATACAGTCCTGATATGTCAGTGTGCTGAGCTGACATCCTAATATAAGGGCGATTATGCAACAGTAATAAAGATAGAAATATGTGCCTACCAACAGGAAGTTAACAGTGCACCCTTGAGAGGGTCCTTTCCATTATTTCATCCACAAGAATGGATAAAATTTCTCTGCGCAATTTAATTCAGTTTGGCTTTTCAACCAAAGCACGCCAAGCAGGCAGAGTGTTAGTGTAAGGATAACAGAAGCTGACATTTTCCAGCACTTCCTATGTGCCAGGCACTGGTCTAAGAGTTTCACACATTTAATGGTTGCAGAAACCTTATAATGAGGTTACTGTTATTAAGTTCCATTTTTAAGATGAAGGATCTGAGGCTCAGAGAGGTTAAGTGGCTTGTACAATTTGTGAGGGACAGAGTCAGGAATTGAACCCAGGCCCGTGTGGCTCCTAAGTCTCCACTATTAGGAAGACAGTATAGGTGAGAACAGGACCATCTGCCACTCAGAAGCATCCTACCTGGCTACCATGGACCTTTGTCATTCAGTCGTTGGTATTTATGTCTGAGTGAGCCCAAGCTTAGCAACCCCTGGACCACGTGCTTACATCACGTACCTGAGCAGTGCCATGTTCACAACACAGAGCCCAGCACATGGATGTCTGTTTTTACTTACTTCTAGGCTATTGTTACAGGTGAGGGTGTCCACACGATTTACATAGCGTGTGTCTATGTTTGTATCATTTTTCTAGGCAGAAGAAAATCAAGACAGCAGTGGTCATTTCAGCAACATACCTCCCTTGGAAAATCCAGAAGACTTTGATATAGTTACTGAAACCAGCTTCCCTATTCCAGGGCAGCCTTGCCCTTCCTTCCCAAAGTCTGATGTTTACAAAGCTACCTGTGACCTAGCCACCTTTCAAGGAGACAAAATGCCACCCTTCCAGAAATACTCAAGCCCAAGAATCTATTTGCCTAGGCCACCTTGCAGCTATGAATTGGCAAACCCTGGTTATACAAATTCAAGCCCATATCCCACCCTTTATAAGGATTCCACCAGTATCCCTAATGACACAGACTGGGTTCATCTGAACACACTACAATGTAATGTCAATTCATACAGCAGCTATGAGAGAAGCTTTGATTTCACCAACAAACAGCATGGCTGGAAACCAGCTCTTGGAAAACCCAGCCTTGTGGAAAGGACTAACCATGGGCAGTTTCAGGCCATGGCCACTCGCCCTTATTATAACCCAGAGCTTCCCTGCAGGTACCTCACGACTCCACCACCAGGTGCCCCTGCCCTACAAACCGTGATCACCACCACCACTAAAGTGTCCTACCAGGCCTACCAGCCCCCTGCTATGAAATACAGTGACAGTGTGCGAGAGGTGAAGAGCCTTTCGAGCTGTAACTATGCTCCTGAAGATACTGGGATGTCTGTCTATCCAGAACCCTGGGGTCCTCCGGTGACAGTCACCAGGGCAGCCTCTCCTTCAGGGCCACCTCCTATGAAAATTGCAGGAGATTGCCGGGCCATCAGACCCACTGTGGCTATTCCCCACGAGCCAGTTTCCTCTAGGACAGATGAAGCAGAGACTTGGGATGTGTGTCTGTCTGGGCTGGGCTCCGCAGTCAGTTACTCAGACAGAGTGGGTCCCTTCTTTACCTACAACAATGAGGATTTTTGAAAGACAATCCAGGGGACATAATAGCAGTGTGCATGCAGGCAGGAGGCAGGGAAATGTGAAATGGCAATGATCTCTTATTGAGTTGGGAGATTCACCTTGTGTGCAAAGAAACACAGATAGTAGTAAAAATTCTGAGTAACTGAGAAAATAATCAGTTGGAAATGATTAGATAATATGGGAAATTTCACACAGCATTTTGAAACTGGCTACAATACATAGAAGTAGTGAGGAAAGTGTGAGTCTCTCAAATGAACAAATAAGCAAACTGTAGGAGGTTAAATACTGACCTAAGTTCACTTAGCTTATTAGCAGGAGTAGAAGTCAAGGATTCTGGTTCTTATTCTAGGACTTTTCCCATTAGAGCACCTTAGGGAATTTCACATCCCTAGAGGCTGCCAAAATAGCTTCAGGAAGAAATTTTTACAATCTTATCACCTGAGTCATTTCATGAAATTTTTGTTTAGCATTTAGAACCTGTTAAACTAGCTTCAGGAAGTAATTTTGATTGTTTTATCTCCAACGTGTGTATCTACAGCTTTTCAAAAAATCTCTAGCAATGGTAAAGTTCAGTTGTTTTTAAAAGATTCAATATTAGCTTTTCATAACATGATAGTTTCCTAACCTTTTCATAACCTTTTCATAACATGATAGTTTCCATAACAGAGACAGCCTAACAATGATGAGTTGTATTTAATGGATTACCATTGTACTAAATACATTTTTTTTCTGATTAGGTTTCAGAATTATAATTAAAATGTTTTGCTGAAATACAGCTTTACGGTTCCTCTGTTATTCTTCATAAAGGTAATTGATAATGTTCAATTAAATGTAATAAGGACATTTTAAATGAAGCTAATTCTTGCCTGACTTCAAAACAGAAATAGGAAAAAAATTGTTCATATTATGACCTGGGAAACAGTTGTTATGAAACATTAAAACTTATTAAATTGGCTGAGAGAGGTGGCTCACGCCTGTAATCCCAACACTTTGGGAGACCAAGGCAGGAGGATTGCTTGAGCCCAGGAGTTTGAGACCAGCCTGGGCAACAGGGAGAGCCCTCATCTCTGGGCAACAGAGAGAGACCCCAGGGCATGGCAGTGGGCCTGTGGTTCTAACTACTTGGGAAGCTGAGGTGGGAGGATCATTTGAACCCACGAGGTCAAGGCTGCAGTCAGCCATCTTTGTGCTACTGCACTCCAGCTTGGGCAACAGAGCAAGACCCTGTCTCAAAAAAATAAATAAATAAATAAATAAATAAAACAAGTATTAAATAGTTTGACTGTTTTGTAGTTTATTTGCAAAATACCTGCTGTTGTACTCTGTCATAACAGAAAGCCTTTTCAAAACATTTGGAGTGTTCACACACACACTTTAGTGAAAATATTCTGTTTTCAAATAAAGATAAACTACAGGAGCAATATATTTTGGGGGGGGGTGCCTAGAAGTATCATCCTCAAATTTGCATAGAATAATCAATTTGTATAACTAAATTGTAGTCAGTCAGATGCCATTTTAAATCATTGAGCATTCTGTATCATCCAACTAATTCATAAAAGCCTAATACTCCAACATCATAAATGCATGCAGTACTTAACAAAAGATTGAGTAGGTATGAGTACACTCCTATGAGTTTCTAACCAACCAATTTTTTTTAAAGGGAAAGATGCTTAGTACACTCATTGGTTACTTTTTCCTTTGAACTTCCATTGCCAAAACTCACAAGCTATAATAATATCTAACATTTATATAGCACTTACTGGCCAAACATGGTGGCTCACACCTGTAATCCTAGCACTTTGGGAGGCTGAGGCAGGTGGATCACTTGAGCCCAGGAATTAGAGACCAGCTTGGGCAACATGGCAAAACCCCATCTCTACCAAAAAAAAATACAAAAATTAGCCGGGTGTGATTGCACACAGCTGTAGTCCCAGCTACTCAGAAGATTGAGGTGGGAGGATGGCTTGAGCCCAGGAGGTAGAGGTTGCAGTGAGCTGAGATAGCACCACTGCACTCCAGCCTGGGCAACAGAGCTAGACCCTGTCTCAAAAAATAAAGAACATTTTTTTTTAAAAAAAAGAAAAAAAATTAAATATATATATATATATATATATATATATATATATATATATCAGTATTTACCATGTGTCAGACATTGTAAGCCCTGAACATACATTAATTGATTTAATCCTCACAGCTGTCCCCTGAGCTACCTGAGAAGGTGAAATGACTTATAGAGCAAGTGGGAGACCAAGATTTGAATCCAGGTCATCTCCCTGTTCCTAGCCAATACATCATATTGGCTTTGATTGTACTCTTTTATCAATAAAATTGCATTTATACTTTAGTGTTGCTCTTGGCACAGAGTGAGCTTTGTTACTTCTAAGTGTTCGTGTTCCAATGTGGGACTTGAGGAATCCCGGCAGGATGGGGAGGAAGGGCCGGGGATGGGAGTGAGCAGACATGCTGGAGGCCCTGAGACAATCATTTCCCAACATGTGGTACAAGGATCCCATGGGGTGCAGAGTGAGTCTAGACAGTCCACAAATATTTCAATAGTTACTGACTTATTTTAATGTATAATAGAAAAAGATATAAATAACACATCAAACTTATGATTTTAGGTGGTGACCATCATAATCCCAAAAGACACAGTCCTGAATGCCATAATCCCAAATGTTGAAATCCAGAATGATCAAAATCCCTAATGTCTAAAATCTCAAAAATCACAATCCCAAAAGATTAAAATCCCAAATGCTGAGATCCTGGAAGCTGAATTCTGGAAAAAGGGTTGCGCATGTTCAGTTGTACGCAGGATAGTTACATTATGTTAGTCGCATCACGTTAGGCAGAGCTACCATGTCTTTATTTGGAAATTAAGTATGGTATAAGGGATGCATATGGGTGCCAAGTTAACAAGGGATCAACTTATCAGTGTGTAAACACAGTGTACATAGGAGAAGTATGGCATGAATTGGGCTGAAATGGAAAGCAGGGCTCAGAGCCTTGAAGTCCAGTACAGGGCATCTAGATTTTATTCCAAGAGCCATGGCAAACCACTGAAGAATTTTTTTTTTTTAGATGGAATCTCGCTCTGTCGCCCAGGCTGGAGTGTAGTGGTGTGATCTTGGCTTGCTGCAAGCTCCGCCTCCTGGGTTCACGCCATTCTCCTGCCTCAGCCTCCCGAGTAGCTGAGACTACAGGCGCCCGCCACCGTGCCCGGCTAATTTTTTTGTATTTTTAGTAGAGACGGGGTTTCACTGTGTTAACCAGGATGGTCTCGAACTCCTGACCTCGTGATCCGCCTGCCTCGGCCTCCCAAAGTGCTGAGATTACAGGTGTGAGCCACTGAGCCTGGCCTTTTTTTTTTTTTTTTTGAAGATGGAGTTTCGCTCTTGTGGTCCAGGCTGGAGTGCAATGGCACGATCTCGGCTCACTGCAACCTCCGCCTCCCAGGTTCAAGCGGTTCTCCTACCTCAGCCTCCTGAGTAGCTAGGATTACAGGCACATGCCACCATGCCCGGCTAAGTTTTGTATTTTTAGTAGATGAGGTTTCACCGACTTGGCCAGGCTGGTCTTGAACTCCTGACCTTGTGATCCACCCGCCTCAGCCTCCCAAAGTGCTGGGATTACAGGCATGAACCACTGCGCCCGGCCACCACTGAAGAATTTTAAGGAACAAAGTGGCATGATCCAATTTATGTTTTGAGAGGAATCATCCCGATGCTGTGTGGATACTGGATTAAAGCTGGGTTTAGGAAGCAGGAAGATGACTGCAAGTAGTCCAGGCAAGAAATGATAGTGGCTTGGACTAGATGGTGTTGGTGGAGATGGAAGGAAGTAGACAGATTCAAAATGTAATTTGGGGAAGACCCACTCGGGAGCCCCTCTCTCTCTGCAGGAGAGAGAACTATTCTCCTTTCTCTTTCTTTCGCCTATAAACCTGTGCTCTTAAACTCACTTCTTGTGTGTCCACGTCTTCAATTTCCTTGGTGTGAGACGATGAACCTCAGATATTTACCCCAGCGAATGATGCTGCTTCATTTTAGGGCCCCATCTGGGATCGTTTCTAATAGCTTTGAAGGGTTTCTAATAGCTTTGAAGATCACAACATTGGAATAGAGAAAAAATGTGCAGGACTCATGAAGAGCTGAAATGTTCATGAACGTCAAACAGGAGTTAACTGCATGCACTACACCAATAGAAGTCTGAAGACACAATTGGAGAAACTGATTGTTTTACCAAAGCTTTGACTGGAACTGTGCTTCCCTTTAAGGAATCGAGTTTGACTTGCAGAGCCAATAAAGGCCCCTTGGGGATGACTGGCTTCCTACCTTTTCTACACAGTCCCCATGCAGATTTCCTAACCTGTGACTAACCCTGCTTATTCCCCTGAATCAAGTAGTGATCTCCTGCAGCTTGGAAGAAACAAAAAGGGACGGGTAATGTAAAAATCTGGATCAATATGCCAGTTCTGGGCAATTATCCCGCAAATCCTGCCGGGTAATAAAAGTAAATAGGGTGCCCATAAAAAAAAAAAAAGGTAAGTTGGAGGTAGCATCAGTGGAACGAACTTATGATTCAGGTGTGGATAGTAAGGAATAAGGAAAAATAAAGAACTACTCTCAGTTTCCGGCTTCAACAAACTGAGTAAATGATGGTACCATTCCTGAAATATTGGCAGCTGAGAAAAGAACAGTTATGGTCCCTTAATGCTTGTGAGTCATTGAAGCTATCAGATGGATATAACCCTGGACCTCTGTGGAGGGTCAGAGATATGGATAAATATCAGGAAATCATAAGCATAAAGCCGCTTTTTAAAGCCAATAGTAGCTCACCTAGTAAGATAATCTAGAGCTGTACTGTCCAATATGGTAGCCACTGGCCATATGTGGTAATATAAATTAATCAAAATTAAATAAAAGTTAGCTGGGCACAGTGGCTCATGTCTGTAATCCCAGAACTTTGGGAAGCCAAGGTGGGCAGACCACTTGAGGTCAGGAGTTCAAGACCCAGTCTCTATAAAAAATACAAAAATTAGCCAGGCATGATGGCACATTCTTATAATCCCAGCTACTCCGAAGGCCGAGGCAGGAGGATCACTTGAACCCAGCAGGCAGAGGTTGCAGTGAGCCAAGATTGCATCACTGCACTCCAGCCTGCGTGGCAGAGCAAAACTCTCAATAAAAAAATTAAATAAATAAAATTTAAAATTCCATCCCTCAGTCACACGAGCTACATTTCAAGTGCGTAGTCGCCATATATAGCTAGTGGCTACTTCATTGGATGGTGCAGAAAGAGGACATGTCCATCGTCACAGGGAGTTCTATTGGACAGTGTTGGTATAGAGGAGGACAGGGGAACCTTGCATGAAGCCATGAAGAGTTCCCAATTTGGAGTTAAGAGGAGAAGGATCTGATAGAGGAGATGAGAATTAGTGTCCAGATAAGTAGAAAACCAGGACAGAGAAGGGGGTCACAGAAGCCGGAGTCGAACTCTTTCAAAAGAGAGAAGGAGGTCAACATTGCAGAATGCGGCTGAGATGTTAACATGAGCGTCCATTGGGTGTAGCAACAGGGAACGTGTTGGTGACCGTGAAGACACCTGTTTCCATGGGGTGACGGGGCTCTGTGAGGCAGATTGGAATGGGCTGAGGGCCAGTGGGAAACAAGGAGCTGGAGACAACATACGTACTCTCTGGATGATGTAACATTGATTTTCAAGTGTGAATAAAAGTCAACGTGCTTGATTAAAAACTGTAGTGAGAGCTTCAAATTTCTTCCAGTGAAATTTGCCTTGGTGATAGGGTTGCCACAGTTAGCAAACAAAAATACAGGCCATCCAGTTAAATTTGAATTTTGGATAAACAATGAGTAATTTTTTAATATAAGCACAGTCATTCATCACTTAGCAATGGGAATATATTCTAAGAAATGTGTCCTTAGGCGACTTCATCCTTGTGGAGAAACCAGATTGTATTTGCACAAACCTAGATGATAGAGCCCACTATACACTTAGGCTAATATGGTAGAACCTATGGCTCCTAGGCCACAAACCTGGACATCATAGTACTGTACTGAATATTGTAGGCAATTATAATGTAATAAGTATTTGTGTATCTAAACATATCTAAACATAGAAAAGGTACAGTGAGAATATAGTATAAAAGATAAAAAATGGGCCGGGTGCAGTGGCTCATGCCTGTAATCCCAGCAATTTGGGAGGTCGAGGTGGGTGGATCACCTGAGGTCAGGAGTTTGAGACCAGCCTGACCAATATGATGAAACCCTGTCTCTTCTAAAAATACAAAAATTAGCCAGGCCTGGTGGCATGCACCTGTAATCCCAGCTACTCAGAAGGCTAAGACAGGAGAATAGCTTGAACCTGGGAGGCAGAGGTTGCGGTGAGCCAAGATCATGCTGTTGCACTCCAGCCTGGGCAACAAGAGTGAAACTCCGGCTCAAAAAAAAAAAAAACAAGATAAAAAATGGTACACCTGTGTGGGACACTTACCATGAACAGAGCTTGCAGGACTGGAAGTTGCTCTGATTGAGTCAGTGAGTGGGTCATGAATGAATGTGAAGGCCTAGGACCTTACTGTATACTAGCATAGACTTTATAAATACTGCATACTTAGGATACACTAAATTTATTAAAAATTTCTTCCTTTAATAATAAATTAACCTTAGCTTACTATAACATTTTTACTTTACAAAACTTTTTAATTTAAAAAATATTTATATATATATATATATATATATATAAATTGTACTTTAAGTTCAGGGATACATATGCAGAATGTACAGCCTTGTTACATAGGTATACATGTGCCATGGTGGTTTGCTGCACCTATCAACAATTCATCTAGGTTTTAAGCCTCACATGCATTAGGTATTTGTCCTAATGCCCTCCCTCCCCTTGCCCCCCACCTCCAGACAGCCCCCAGTGTGTGTTGTTCCCCTCCCTCCTCCCTGTGTCCATGTGTTCTCATTGTTCAACTCCCACTTGTGAGTGAGAACATGCAGTGTTTGGTTTTCTGCTCCTGCGTTAGTTTGCTGAGGATGATGGCTTCCAGCTTCATCCATGTTCCTGCAAAGGACATGATCTCATTCTTTTTTATGGCTGCATAGTATTCCGTGGTGTATATGTGCCACATTTTCTTTATCCAGTCTATCATTGATGGGCGTTTGGGTTGGTTCCAAGTCTTTGTTATTGTGAATAGTGCTGCAATAAACATGTGTGTATGTGTCTTTATAGTAGAATAAATTTTTAAAAACTTTTTGACTCTTGCAATAACAGCTTAAAACACACATTGTACAGTTGTACAAAAATATTTTCTTATTTATATTTCTTTCCTTCTATAAGTTTTTTTCTATTCTTAATTTTTTATTTTATTTTTTGCTTTTTAAACTTTTTTGTTGTTAAGAACTAAGACACAAACACGCACAGTAGCCTAGGCCTACATGGGGTCAGAATCATCAATATCACTGTCTTCCACCTCCACATCTTGTCTCTCTGGAAGGTCTGCAGGAGCAATAACATGCACAGAGCTGTCATCTCCTATGGTACTAATGCCTTCTTCTGGAATCCCTCCCAGAGGACCCACCTGAGGCTATTTTACAGCTAACTTTTATTTATAAATAGACGGAGCACACTGTAAAATCATGATAAAAAGTATAGTAAATACATAAACCAGTAACACAGTTGTTTATTATCATTATCAAGTATTACATATTATACATAACTGTATATGCTAGACTTTTATACGACTGCAATGCAGTAGGTTGATTTACACCAGCATCACCATAAACACACAAGGAATGCATTTCGCTATGACGTTATGACAGCTATGATGTCACTAGGCAATAGGAATTTTTCAGCTCTATTATAATCTTATGGGACCGCCAACATATATGCAGTTCATAGTTGACTGAAGTGTCATTATGTAGTGCCTGAGTTTGTATCCCAAATACTGCGTGGACATAACAAAAATTATTCATCATTTTTCTTAAATTCAAAGTTAGGTGTCCTGTATTTTATCTGGTACTCTACTTAATGTGAATATTATCATTTAATTTCATTCTTGTCCAAAATGTACTAAATGACATTTGAATAAACCAAAAAACTAAAAGTGCATTTATATAAAAACAATTCAGGTACTGAACACTTATGAAAAAATAATATTTATTTTAACTGTGTACTCTAGTGGGAGAAAAAATATTTTATTATCCTTTAAAGTATACACATCAAAGATAAACAGCACAAGATTTTAAAAAGCAAAAAAATCACCCTTTGACGTTTTCATTTACAAACGACACTATCAGCTGATTGTCAACCTATTTACTCATATTTCCATTCTACTTGGGTGAGATAAAGCAAGAGTGTCCTTTGAATGTTACATCAGTAATGTATTTTCCATTCATCAGCCCATTAGAGTTGGGTTTTCTGCTCCTCTCTCAGACGGCTGAGCTACCCACATAGTGTTATGGTTTGAATGATAAATTTGAATGACAAGCATGAGGCATGTCAGGGTTGTGGGCATGGGGGAGAAGAGGAAGAAGGAGAAGCCCTCTCCAACTGCAGCGACCTGTGGCTCTTCAGATGCAGCAGAAGGGCACTACTGGGTAAAAATGCCAGCCACCTGCCTTTGGAGGCCTCCGCCTGCGGAAAATAAACATTCTCTCTTCCAATGCTTCTTAAGTGTGAGGTTTTAAAAACCCCAGTTGAAAAAGCCTTCTGCTTCAAGAGGGCCTATGTATTAGGCTGCAGTACTGATCCGGGTTTCCATAAACCACCTGAATTCCTTCTCTTAACCACTTTAAGCACTATGCTTTCAAAGATCATTTCTGGCTATTGCCAAGATGTAGCAATAAAACCCCTTAATTCAAACGTGCCCAGAATTGTGACACCAGAATGGATGTCATCTATCCCAGTCTTCTGTTATCAGGACTGAGTGCCCTGTGGACAGATGCCCATCCATTTCTGCTGTGGGTGCTACTGTCCTCTGCAAGGATGCCACTGTCCTCATGGAACGCTAAAAAGAGCTTTTAGAATAAAGGTACAACTTTATGATCTGGTTTTGTGATTTTTAAAAAAATTAAGCTTACCTCAAAAAATATATCTGCAAAGATTATTTGAAAAAAAAAACTCATGACATTATCAACAGAATATATGCATTCACCTGTTAGATGCTAAATGCTCACTATGAGAATTACAGAGAAGCATAAAATGAGGTCGCTGCTTTCAAGAAATTTGTAGTAGGAAAAAACAAATAGGCCCGGCACAGTGATGCATATCCGTAGTCCTAGCTACTCAGGAGGCTGAGGCAGGAGGATGGCTTGAGGCTGCAGTGTGGTCGTGAGTATGCACTGTGATCCTGCCTGTGAATAGTCACTGCCCTCCAGCCTGGGAGACACAGCGGTACCCAGCCTCTAAAAAATATTTCAAAAGAAATTTGTAGTAAACAAGAGAAATAAGACACGCCAAATAATAGGTTAAATAGCAGGGCATGGCAGTACATTATTGCATGCATTGTATTTTATACATAGGAAAATATAATGATATTTCAAGAATTTTTACTTGCTAATTTTATGATTGTTGGAAACATTAAAATTGTGAAGGCTGAACTTGTCTCTGCAGCTGGAAGAGCTGGGCAGAGGAAAATTCTCCAAGGAAAGAATGAAATGGGGAAGGCAAAACAGCCCAGCTGCAGAGGCAGAGGGGAAGATGAGGAACACTCTTCATGAATATTTTCCTCATCTTGAAGCTTTTCTTATTAAAATATTTTCCTTATTAGTATTTTCTTCTCCAGATGTTCTTCAAAAACTTTCCATGTACACATTCCTCAAATTACTTCATAAGTAATTTGTTCATAAAATCTTCATGAAATTTGTTCACAAAATTTTATGAAACATCCTTATGAATATTCAACAACTATCTTTATGAATATATTCTTCTTGATTATGAATATTTTAATACATTTGTAAGAATAATATACTTGAATGAATAGAGCACTGTTTCTATTTGTAAAGAATCTGTTTTTGAAGCAATAGATGTTGAATATGTTCATGCACATAATAAACATATCAATGATCCCACATTCAAACAAAGTTTCTGAACACCTACAATGTTCTAAAACCTGACAGTAAAGGGATGGACAACGTAGACATGGTTCTTGCCCTCATGGGGCTTACATTCTTTGTGAGGAATATGTTTTTTTGTTTTGTTTTTTGTTTTTGAGACAGAGTTTCGCTCTGTCCCCCAGGCTGGAGTGCAGTGGCATGATCTCAGCTCACTGCAACTTCCGCCTCCCAGGTTCAAGAGATTCCTCTCATGCCTCAGCCTCCTGAGTAGCTGGGATTACAGGCACCTGCCACCACACTCGGCTAATTTTTGTATTTTTAGTAGAGACAGGGTTTCACCAAGTTGGCCAGGCTGGTCTCGAACTCCTGACCTCAGGTGATCCGCCTGCCTTGGCCTCCCAAAGTACTGGGATTACAGATGTGAGCCATGGCGCCTGGCCAATAATACATTTTTTTTTTTTTTTTGAGACAGAGTCTCGCTCTGTCGCCCAGGCTGAAGTGCAGTGGCATGATCTCAGCTCACTGCAAGCTCTGCCTCCCAGGTTCATGCCATTCTCCTGCCTCAGCCTCCCACGTAACTGGGACTGCAGGCGCCTGCCACCACACCTGGCTAATTTTTTGTATTTTAATAGAGATGGGGTTTCACCATGTTAGGATGATATCGATCTCCTGACCTCATGATCCGCCCACATCGGCCTCCCAGTGTTGGGATTACAGGTGTGAGCCACTGTGCCTGGCCGAATATGTTTTCAATAAAGGCAAAAGTGTTGTGTACATTCCTATAACTAAGAGTATTAGTGAAGAATGTACTCATGTGCCCTCTTTCTCTGCCACTCAATGTTCCCCATCTTTCCCCCAGCAAAAAGTCTTCTTTCTGCCCAACTGACTGTATCACAGTAGCAGAAATTCAAGGCGGAGGATAATCAAGTATTCCTTGAGATGCTACTATGAATATAAAATGAAAATTGGCCTATCAAAGTTTTGCAGAAATCCTCAAAACTTAAAAAAAGAAAGAAAAAACCCATACCCATCATCCCATCCCAGATAATAGCAATTGCTGTAAACTTTATAAATTGTTTTTATAAAAATATTTGGAGACCTGGCTTGGGAAATGGCTTCCAATAAATATCCTTCGTAAAAAATGTGTTCTCCACCATTCTGCTCTCAGGCACTGACATCCAGTGGGCACCACATGTCAGCTGAGATACCTGAGACTTTATGGTGCAAAAAAAGAGAAGGGGAGTAAAGAGTGAGAGAATATTAAAGCCTGCCAGGGCCAAATGTGGAAGTAGAGGAGGGCCCTCTACCAGCTCGTGTTACACTTGCCTGGGAGGGATCTCAGCAGGGCCGCTTGTGCGCCAACGTCTTATACAGTTTTAGTAAGTGGCTCTCCTCTATTACCACTTCCAGGTGAACAAGGAGAGACTGGAGCACCTTGTAATGCAAGAAAGTAAGGGCTTCAAGCAACAACAACAAAAACTGGAGCTGATGCAGGGCAGATGAGCCTCAAAATTGAGGCTTAGCCTGGGAGAGTTCTTGGCTCTGCTGAGGAAAGAATTCAAGGGGAAACCAGTGGTGTTAGACAGCAACTTTTTTTTTTGAGAGGGTGTGTTGCTCTGCCGCCCAGGCTGGAGTGCAATGGTGCGATCTTGGCTCGCTGCGACCTCCACCTCCTGGGTTCAAGTGATTCTCCTGCCTCAGCCTCCCGAGTAGCTGGGATTATAGGTGCCCACCACCATGCACGGCTAATTTTTGTATTTAGCAGAGACGGGGTTTCACTAGCTGGCCAAGCTGGTCTCAAACTCCTGACCTCAAATGATCTGCCCGCCTTGGCCTCCCAATGTGTTGGGATTACAGGTGTGAGCCACCGCGCCTGGCCTAGACAGCTACTTTTATTGAAGCAGCACTGTATAAGCAGCAGCAGAGGTACTGCTCTTTGTGGAGCAGGGCTACCCCACAGCAAATGTGCCCAGAGTAGCAGCTCAGAGGCAGTTCAGCAGTCACATTTATGCCTCATTTTAATTATATGCAAATTAAGGGGCAGATTATGCAGACAATTATTTAAAAAGTGTGGTAACTTCCAGGTTGTCAAGTTGTTGTCATAGAAAGGCGTGGTAACTTCCATATGTTGCCATGGCACACTGGTGGGTGTGTCTTATAGAAAGGTGCTTCTGCCCCATCTCTGTTTTAGCTAGTCCTCAATTTGGTTCAGTGTCCAAGCCCTGCCTCTGGAACTGAGTCCAGTCTCCTACCTCAGAGTCATGGCAAAAGGACATGCAATCCAATGGAAAGAGCTCCTATGGCCAAAGTTGGAACTATTTTAAAAAATAATAACCCAGTATTCGATTACAACCCAAAGTATTTAAAAAACGCAGGAGTCCGCCCCGATATGAGTACCTAATTGAATAAATATCAATCATGGGGGAGTACAGAAAAATCTCCTGTGCAAAATAATTTTAACTAATCTATGTTGCCACCCTTACCCTCAAGAAGCATAACTCCTCACTTCTTAGGTATGGCCTATATATGGTGACTTCCTTCTAAAGAGCACAGTGTGGAAAGTGGGGAGTGGAGGGAGGAACTTCCCAGTGGGGAAACTAGATAAACACTACCAGATGACCAGGTGACCAAGGTCAACAGCAACAGTGATGTCATGCTGCTAGCATGTGCCCGTGATATGATGTGATGAAAATGGCACTTCACCTCTGTGATCTTCCTCCCAAAAAACACAGAATCCCAGTCTAATCATGAGAAAAACATCAGACGAATCATAATTGAGGGGTATTGTACAAAATGCCTGAGCAGTACACCTCAAAATTGTCAGAGTTGTCAAAACAAGGAAAGTCTAAGAAACTCACAGTCTAGGGGAATCTAAAGAGACATGAGGATTAAATGTTATATATCCTGGATGGGATTCTGGAGAAGAAAAGGAAATTAGGTAAAAACTAAGGACATCTGAATAAAGTAGGGACTTTGGTTAATAACGAGGCATCAATATTGGTGTATTAGCTGTAACAAATGTACCATGCTAAGGTAATATGTTAATGATATGGTTCGCATCTGTGTGCCCACCACATCTCATGGTGAAATGTAATCCCCAGTGTTGGAGATGGGGCCTGCTGAGAGGTGATTAGGTCATGGGGACAGATCCCTCATGCCTTGGTGCTGTCCTCTTGATAGTGAATTCTCATGAGATCTGGTTGTTTAAAAGTGTGTAGCACCTTCCCCCAACTCCCTCTCTTGCTCCTGCTCTGGCCATGTGAGACTCCTGCTTCCACTTCACCTTCCACCATGACTGTAACCTTCCTGAGGCCTCCCCAGAAGCTGAGCAGATGCCATTACCAAGCTTCTTTGTAGGGCCTGCAGAACTGTGAGCCAATTAAACCTGTTTTCTTTATAAATTACCCAGCCTCAGGTGTAAATAACAATGCAAGAATGGCCTAATACAGTTAATAACAAAGGAAACGGGGTGCTAGGCTTTTGTGAACTCTGTATTGTCATCCTAATTTTTTGTAAATCTAAAACTGTTCTAAAAAATAACATTTAGGTCGGGCACAGTGGCTCACGCTTATAATCCCAGCACTTTGGGAGGCTGAGGTGGGTGGATCTCCTGAGGTCAGGAGTTTGCGACCAGCTTGGCCGACATGGTGAAACCCCCTCTCTACTAAAAATACAAAAAATTAGCTGGGCGTGGTGGTGGGCACCTGTAATCCCAGCTACTTGGGAGGCTGAGACAGCAGAATTGCTTGAACCTGGAAGGTGGAGGTTGCAGTGAGCCGAGACCGTGCCACTGAACTCCAGCCTGGGCAACAAGAGCGAAACTGCGGCTCATAAACAAATAAATGAACAAAACATTTAAATAATACTATTTAGTGATAAAAAAAAAAAGAAGGAAATCCTGTCATTTGTGACAACATAGGTAGAAGAGGAGGACATTATATGAAGCGAAATAAGCCAGACACAGAAAGACACATTTCTTGTGCTCTCACTTATGTGTGGGAGCTAAAAATTAAAACAATCGGACTCATGGAGATAGAGGATAGAATGATGGTTACCAGAGGTTGGAAATCAAAGCAAATAGGCAGGGGTGAAGTGGGGATGGATAATGGGTATAAAAATATAGTTATATAGAATGAATAGATCTAGTATTTGATAGCTACGTAGATGTAGATCTAGAGAGATATTTAGTTTAAGGAATTGGCTTACACAGTTGTTGGAACTGGCAAGTCAGAAATATGCAGGGCAGCCCAGCAAGCTGGAAATTCCAGCCAGTCATAGTTTCAGTCTTGGGTCCAAATTTTGGAGGGCAGTAGGATGGAAACATGGGCAAGGTATCTATGTTGCTGACTGAGAATTCCTCCTTCTCTGGGAAACCTCAGTCTTGATACTTAAAGTCTTCAACTGAGTGGGTGGGACAAGCCCCATCCAAGTTATGGAGAATAATTTGCTTTACTGAGAATCAACACAACTTAAATAGCATAATTTAAGATTAGACAAGTTTACATATATAAAAAGCTAAACACATTCTATATGGAGAAGAAAGAAGACTAATAGTACCCAAGGCCAATATATGTAAGACTTTATATCTACTCCTCAATAGGATAAGTTGACCAGAGAGAGTAATCTGTTAACTCTTATTCTATCACCAGTTATTCAGTGGCTGACAACATTTTTCTACACTCTGTACCACTGATGGAAAATACCCATGATTGTCAGCTGTGGCCATAAGACCCTGGAGATTCAATTCTCTGATGAGGTCAACTTGCCCTGAGTCTGTGAAATGTTATACCAGGCATTTGCTGAACTTGAAGGGAGCAGTAAGCAGTGACAGAATAATGAATATTATCACTGACCTGTATCAGTTGTGCAAATGCCAGGAAAATCATTTCAAGGTGATTTCTCAGGTATTTGTAATAGATCATAAATCAAAAATGGTTGCTCACTGATAACACCTTTCACTCCAACTTGAGTAACTAGAATATTCCTTGGATTATAAATATAAGTTAAAAGTTTTTCTCAAAAATATAAATATGTCTATTTTAAATAATCCAGCAAAGACTGGACAAAAAAAATTTTGAATTCCCACAGTTCCTTCTTACTTTTTAAATGTTATCCAAGAGAAATTCTAAACTTAGTAAGAAACCCATTCTAAAATGTAGAAATGGAGTCAAGGATGAATTTTCCCCTTTTTTTTATTTTTTATTTTTTTTGAGAAGGAGTTTCGTTATTGTCGTCCAGGCTAGGCTAGAGTGCAATGGCACGATCTCGGCTCACCACAACCTCCACCTCCCAGGTTCAAGCAATTCTCCTGGCTCAGCCTCCTGAGTAGGGATTACAGGCATGCGCCACCACGCCCAGCTAATTTTGTATTTTTAGTAGAGGTGGGGTTTCTCCGTGTTGGTCAGGCTGGTCCGGAACTCCCGACCTCAGGTGATCTGCCTGCCTCAGCTGCCCAAAGTGCTGGGATTACAGGCGTGAGCCACCAGGCCCCGCCGAATTTTCCATTTTTCTTTTTCTTTTTTCTTTTTTTTTTTTTTTGACATGGAGTCTAGCTCTTTCACCAGGCTGGAGTGCAGTGGCACGATCTTGGCTCACTGCAACCTCCGCCTCCCAGGTTCAAGTGATTCTCCTGCCTCAGCCTCCTGAGTAGCTGGGATTACAGGCACGTGCCGCCAAGCCCAGCTAATTTTTGTATTTTTAGTGGAGATGGGGTTTCACCATGTTGGCCAGAATGGTCTTGATCTCCTGACCTCATGATCTGCCCATCTTGGCCTCCCAAAGTGCTGGGATTACAGGTGTGAGCCATGGCGCCCCGCTGAATTTTCCATTTTGGATTGGACATTCACGGTGGTAGTAAACCCCACTACACTCTAGGAATCAGTAATCAGCAGAAATATTTGTGAAGTAGAAATGCCTTCTGAATACCTCATTCTCAGCATTTTTATCTAAATAATTCCAGCATCCTAACCCGTTAAAATCTATTCTCCACACCCACTTAATTAGCTGTGGAATCATAGACATTACATGCCAGGGAGTGTGAAAGCCCCTCAGGGAGGGGTCCAAAATAGTCAGGATTCTTCAGAGAAATAGAACCAATAGGATATATATGTGTGTGTGTATGTGTGTGTGTGTGTGTGTGTGTGTGTGTGTGTGTGTGTACAAATAGTTGGCTTTGCATATAGGGATGATTTCAGCTTAGCATAAGGAAAAACATTGTCTTCAATTTCTCATCATTTGAGCTAGTTAGCAATATACACATACGTACATACACATACATACACACATATGAGATTTATTTTAAGGAATTTATTCATGTGATTGTGAGGGCTAGCAAGCTTGAAATTTGTAGAGCAGGCCAGCAGGCTAGAAACTCAGGCAGGAATTGATGCTGAAGTCTTAAAACATTTCCTTCTTCTCTGAGGAACCTCAGTTTTTGCTCTTAAGACCTTCCACTGATTGGATGTGGCCCACCTGCATTATGGAGGGTAACATACTTAAGTCAGCTGATTGTAAATGTTAATCATATCTATAAAACCCCATCACAGCAGCATATAGATTAGTGTTTGACCAAACAAGTGGGTGCCATAGCCTAGCCAAGTGGACATATAATTTTAGCCATCACAGGGTCATCGGCTGAGAGCCCCCTACTCATGTACCTCCTGCCTGGATTGCCTTTCCCTGAGATATTTGCAGAGCTGATTCTTTTGGTTAAATACTTATGTCTGGGCTCAAATGCTGTCTTCACAGAGCTTTCCCTGACTGCGCCATCTCTTGCTCAGCTCCCTTCCCACCCCGTTCTCTCTATCATGTGCCCTGCTTTGTTTTCTTCATGACAATTTCATTTTCTTCATGGAAATTAATTTTTTTTTGCTTGTTGGTTATCTGCCCCACTAGAATGTAAATTCTATTACGGCAAATCCATGACTATCTCATTGATCACCTGCTCATGTCCAGAACAGGGCTTGGCATATAGTAGGCATTCAATACATATTTGCAGAATTAATTCATAAGCCCAATGATGCAGGTGCCTCATTCTATTGCTAACTAGCTCAAATGATGAGAAATTGAAGACAGTGTTTTTCTTTATGCTAAGATGAAACCATCCCTATATGAAAAGCCAACTATTTGTCCTAGATTTGTCTTCTGGACCACACAAAATAATTCTGTTCTTCATTCTGTATCCCTAAGCATTGGAACACAGTGCTCTTGCCTGCAATGACTTCTTTCTTCTCATGGCCAAGTGCCTTCAATTCCTCTATATTATGGTTTCCAAGATCTACCCTATCTTGTTTGCAGCCAGTTGAAAAATCTCTCTCTCAAAGTGAGCCTGCCAGAGGGAAACACAAAATTTGGGGTGTGTTGTCACCAATGCAAGAAGCCAGCCTACCACTTCCAAGGCCTGAACAATAAAATTGTATTAGTTTTTTATTTTTGTTTGTTTGTTGAGACAAGGTCTCACTAATCAGGCTGGAGTGCAGTGGCATGATCTCGGCTCACGGCAACCTCTGCCTCCCAGGTTCAAGAAATCCTCCTGCCTCAGCCTCCCAAGTAGCTGGGATTACAGGCGCCCACCACCATGCCCAGCTAATTTTTTTTTTTTTTTTTTGAGACTGAGTCTCGCTCTGTCGCCCAGGCTGGAGTGCTGTAATGCAATCTCAGCTCACTGCAACCTCCACCTCCCGGGTTCAAGCAATTCTCTGCCTCAGCCTCCCTAGTAGCTAGGATTACAGGCGCCTGGCTAACTTTTGTATTTTTAGTAGAGACGGGGTTTCACCATCTTGGCCAGATTGGTCTTGAACTCCTGACCTCGTGATCCACCCGCCTCAGCCTCCCAAAGTGCTGAGATTACAGGCGTGAGCCACTGTGCTGGGCCAATTTTTGTATTTTTAGTAGAGACAGGGTTTCGCCATGTTGGCCAGGCTGGTCTTGAACTCCTGACCTCATGTGATCTGCTCACCTCAGCCTCTCACAGTGCTGGGAGTACAGGTGTGAGCCACCACACCCGGCCACACATTGTCAATTTCAAAGACAATAATCAAGTGCAAGACTTATGATTCCGGATTTGGAGATACTTCCATGGTGTCCCACTGCTCTACAGTGGGGTGGGGGAATGGGTGGGGGAGTCTTTCCTGGGTAGCAGGGGTGGGCGTGTGGGAGGGAGATTGAGGGTGGGGGTGTGGGAGGGAGGTTAAGTGTGAGGGAATGGGAGGGAGGTTGAGGGTGGGGATGGGGGTGGGAGGGAGGTTGAGAGTGGGGGTGCGGAGTGGGAGGGAGGTTGAGGGTAGGGCTGGGGGGAGGGGAAAATCTTTCCTGGGGCCCCTGAGGGTGCAGGCTGCAGATACTCCTGGGTCCTGCGCCTAGGAGGGCAGCTTTAGCTGCACTGGGAAGGCAGATACTGCCTGCTTCCCGCCCTCCCCCAAGAGCATAGGGTGACTCTGATCCACAGCTGCAGTTTGGGAGGCTGTAGCCCCGCCCAGGAGGGTGGGGCTCCTTCCTGCTCCTTAGAGCAGGAGGCCTGGGTCTGCAGCTGTGGTTTGGGCAGCTGCAGCACCTGGCAGCTCTTACCGCAACTCAGAAGTTGCCATAAACTGAGATGGGGAAGGCTGTGGAAGGAGCAGCTTGGGGAAATGAAGGAAGAAGAAAAAATATTGAGAGCTCAGTTTTGAACAGGATAAGTTCAAACCATAAGATTTCTACGTGAAGTGTTGAGTAGGCAGTTGGATATGTAAGTTTAGAGTTCAGGACAGAGGCGCAGACTTGGAAATGCAAAGTCGAGACTCATTAACACATAATAATACTTGGCATTTGTAGATTGTCAAATGCTATTCAAATACAAAGCTTCATCACCTAGCAATTGCTCATGAATATAACACAACAGCAAACATTGGCCCACTTAGATTCTCTGATTAGAACACTAAAGATCCTTTTTGAAAGATACTTTTAGCAGAACACTTTTTTTGTTTTTCAGAAAAGCATGGCATATGCAAGTCTTTTACATTTTTCCTGTTGTACATCTTAACTATTTTATTGCTGATTTTAAATATAACAAAGTTCTGAAATTCTTAATTTATTATAGGCTTATGAAATACTATCAATCGGAAATTCTAAGAAGGCCATGTAATTATATCTTCTTTGAGAATGCTTATCTTCCCAGAAATTGAAAAGCTCAAATGTGAAATGCACAGTCTTAAAGAAGCATGCAGCTGCTAGGTCAGCCCTGTCCTGATAATAATCGTTTACCAAAGGATATTCTGCCAATCTTTGACAAGAAACATGCTGGTAGTCTTAAAATATACACACAAACACTCCACCTTGGAAGGAGAATTGGAAGAAATCACCAGTAAGACTGAACTACTGAAAAATTGATTATCTGAGGATGAAACAATTAATGAAAAACAAAAGATGAAGGCACGGGGGAAAATATCAAGATTAATTATTGAGGGAACCCACCCCCAATATATCAACATAGGTTCTTTCTATTTTCCATAAGTGTCGGCTGGCTGAGAAATAAAGAGAAAGAGTACAAAGAGAGGAATTTTACAGCTGGGCCACCAGGGGTGACATCACATATCGGTAGGACCATGATGCCCACCTGAGCCTCAAACCAGCAAGTTTTTTATTAAGGGTTTCAAAAGGCGAGGGGTGTAAGAACAGAGAGTAGGTACAAAGATCACATGCTTCAAAGGACAAAAAGCAGAACAAAGATCACATGCTTCTGAGGGAACAGGACAAAAGGCAAAAGCAGAACTACTGATAAGAGTCCAACAAAGATCACCAGACAAAGGGCAAAAGCAGAACTACTGATAAGGGTCTATGTTCAGCCGTGCACATATTGTCTCGCTAAACATCTTAAACAACAGAAAACAGGGTTCAAGAGCAGAGAACTGGTCTGACCACAAATTTACCAGGGCGTTTTTTCCCCACCCTAGTAAGCCTGAGGGTACTGCAGGAGACCAGGGCGTATCTCAGTCTTTATCTCAACTGCATAAGACAGACACTCCCAGAGTGGCCGTTTACAGACCTCCCCCCAGGAATACATTCCTTCCCCAGGGTATTAATATTAATATTCCTTGCTAGGAAAAGAATTTAGTGATATCTTCCCTACTTGCACGTCCGTTTATAGGCTCTCTGCAAAAAGAAAAATATGGCTGTTTTTGCCCGACCCCGCAGGCAGTCAGACCTTATGGTTGTCTTCCCTTGTTCCCTAAAAATCGCTGTTATTCTGTTCTTTTTCAAGGTGCACTGATTTCATACTGTTCAAACACACGTTTTACAATCAATTTGTACAGTTAACACAATTATCACAGTGGTTCTGAGGTGACGTACATCCTCAGCTTATGAAGATAACAGGATTAAGAGATTAAAGACAGGCATAAGAAATTAAAAATGTGTTATTTGGGAAATGTCCATGAAATCTTCACAATTAATGTTCCTCTGCCGTGGCTCCAGCTGGTCCCTCCGTTTGGGTTCCCTGACTTCCCACAACAATTAATATGAAGCTACTGAAAATCTTGAAGTTATGGCAAAGATCATAATATCTGTTTTGCTATTACATATCTACATGTCAAGTCATAAACACACAAATAGAAATATTTGGGGTCATAAAACGCAATCTTTGGAAATATTGGGGTATCAGTACTCAAAAATAACTTCTTGAATTTCTGGTTCTGGAAATGGTGGAGTGGCTTGTATTGGACTAACTCTTCTTCAGGTAATTATTATAAAACTCTAGACAAATATAAAATTTAATTATTTGAAGACCCTGGAAAAAAATCACCAAAGTTAGGTAGAAAGTGGAGGGAAGGCTGGGCACAGTGGCTCACACCTGTAATCCCAACACTTTGGGAGGCTGAGGCAGGCAGATCACCTGAGGTCAGGAGTTCGAGACCAGCCTGGCCAACATGGGGAAACCCTGTCTCTACTAAAAATACAAAAAATTAGCTGGGTGTACTGGCACATGCCTATAATCCCAGCTACTCGGGAAGCTGAGGAAGGAGAACTGCATGAACCCGGAGGCCACTGCACTCCAGCCTAGGCAACAGAGCAAGACTTTGTTTCAAAAAAAAAAAAGAAAGTGGAGGGCATTTGACACTTGAAATAAGAAAACCACCCACACTGAATGAGATTCATGTTTATACAGCTGCTCCCTGAGGGCACTCCCCAGTGCACAAGGCGTGGAATGGCTAGGACTGAGCAGAAATTGCGATGCTTTTGACTTGTCAGAGGATGGAGTCTGGGGCTGCCAAAGGACCTGGAAATTGAGGGGACGGACCTTGGAAAAGAGGGAGCCACAAAGAGGAAACCCTAAAATTTGTGTTTAAACTCACTTTGAATTCTTGGCTGACACCTGAACAGGGCTTAACGAGATGAGACTCTAAAGATGTCAACGTAAAGCAACAGCTGGAAAGCGTCAAAACAAAGCAACCATCTCGTCGGCTGCGCACTGCAAGGGAGATGGAATTTGGAGTTTGCATAGCACTAAGGCCATGCCCTAAGAGTAAACTGTATGTTCTACATCTAAGGAATTCACCCTAAAACTAGTGCCAAAGCTAAAATGAATGCATCTTTAGAAAGGGTAATACTAAGCATCCACAAATTTAAGGTGATTTGTCGAAAAAGCAATTGATTACTTAAAACAGAAAGCAACACTCAGTTAAGAAAGGTAAAATCCAAAACTCTTCAACATATTATTCATCATGTACAATATACAAACAAAATAGTAGCTATTTAAGTAAATAAGACTAGTACCATGAGGTTAAGAGGAGAAGCAGTCTATAGAAAAAGATGTGAGATGGCTCAGATGTTGGAAATAGCTGACAAGAACTTTAAAACAGCTATTATAAATATTCAAAGACCTAAGGAAAATATTGTCATCATAAATAAAAAGATATAGAGAATTTCAACAGAATATGGAAACTATTTAAATGATCCAAGTTTAAAAGTCTAGAACTGAAAATCGAAGGCTTTAAAATAAAATAAAACACCATGGGATAGGCTTACCAGCAGATTGGAGATGATAGAAGAAAGTGTCCATGCACTTGCAAACAATTTTTCAGAAATTATCCAATCTGGGCTGGGCGCAGTGCCTCACGCCTGTAATCCCAGCACTCTGGAAGGCCGAGGCGGGCAGATCATGAGGTCAAGAGATCAAGACCATCCTCGCCGACATGGTGAAACCCCGTCTCTACTAAGAATACAAAAATTAGCTGGGCGTGGTGACGCGCACCTGTAATCCCAGCTACTCGGGAGGCTGAGGCAGGAGAATCACTTGAACCCGGGAAGCAGAGGTTGTAGTGAGCCGAGATCGCACAACTGCACTCCAGCCTGTCCAGCCTGGCGACAGAGTGAGACTCTGTCTAAAAAAAACAAAACAAAAAAACGTAGTGGATTGAACTGAGTCTAATTTTTAATATGTATAACTGGTAATCTTAACAGAGCAAATTTTCCTCTATTAGAAAAATTATAAATCTTGACATTTAAATAAAAATTGATATAATAATAAATACCTCCAAATCTCAGTATGAAACTTTAAAATCTACACTTACCAAAGGCTTGTGTAGCATTTTAAAAATGTGAAGCTTATATTTACTTTCTGTGCTGAAAATAAATGCATGGATTTCCTGAGTTTTTTTTAACACAACTTCCCCCAGATGTCCCACTGTGACCAAAATGAAAAATTATGCATTGTAATGTATTTTTAAAAATTGGAATAAAAATCGGAATTTCATTGTCTTTATTTTGGCCCTCTAATATTTTTAAAATTTTGTTTCAGAGTTCTTGTACTTTACTTTGGGCAGGAACTTGATAATATATCACATTACCGTAAAATCTTCTAAGTCAGTGAATAAAACACATAAACAAAGTTGCTGGAGCTAGTAGAAACATATTGATAAAGATCAGTTCCACAAAGTCATTTTGACAGAAGCAAACATACCTGAGGTGATATAATTTATTACTTCCTCCTAAGCAGGACAACTTCACGACATATTGGTGAAAGGAACGAAATGAGCTACGCAGCCTGTTTAAGCATGACATGGTGAAGAAACTGCTTACTGACAGACAACCCGGGTCTCAGGTTCCCAGCCCTGCCCCGTGGCCCTCCCAGACTGTTACGGTCATCCATAAGGATGTTTGTGCTTGAAGTTCCAATGCAGTGTTTTGGGTTCACTGTCTTTTGCTCCCCTACATATGGGCCCTCCCTAACTTCTGCCTACACCTCTGGGACCTCCATGGGTTAGAGGCAGAGAGTCCCAGTACCGCGATGCCACTTAGCCAAGATGCTGTTGTATCATTGAATGGCATCAACATTCTCATTCTTGTAAAAAGCAACAAACTGGTCTGGAGTGGTGGCTCACGCCTATAATCCCAGCACTTTGGGAGGCCGAGGCGGGCAGATCACCTGAGATCAGGAGTTCAAGACTAGCCTGACCAACATGGATAAACCCCTTCTCTACTAAAAATAGAAAATTATCTGGGCGTGGAGGCACATGCCTGTAATCCTAGCTACTTGGGAGGCTGAGACAGGAGAATCACTTGAACCCGGGAGCTGGAGGTTGCGGTGAGCTGAGATTACGCCATTGCACTCCAGCCTGGGCAACAAGAGCCAAATTCTGTCTCAAAAAAAAAAAAAAAAAAAAAGCAACAAACTGTAAACACAGGTGAAAACCAACATATCCACACATATTCTTGCTTTAGTTGAAAAGCTGTTGGCAGGGTGATAGGAAGCAGTTTCTTTTGTTTAGAGTGGGTTGTTTGGAAAAGCTCTGCATATTGTTTTTGAAACTTTATATCCACTGAATAACAACTCCCCACTTATCCTCCCCCAAAATCCCTGACAACCACCATTCTACTCTCTGCTTCGATGAGTTCGACTATTTTTTTCTTTTTAGAGAAAAGGTCTCACTCTGTCACCTAGGCTGGAGTGCAGTGGCACAATCGAGGTTCACTGCAGCCTCAACCTCCTGGGCTCAAGTGAGCCTCCAGCCTCAGCCTCCCGAGTGGCTGGGACTGTAGGCATGAACGACCACACCAGGCTAATTTTTTTATTTTTTGTAAAGATGGGGATCTCACTATGTTGCCTAGGCTGGTCTTGAACTCCTGGGCTCAAGTGATCCTCCCCCATTGGCCTCTCAAAGTGCTGGGATAACAGATGTGAGCCACCCTCAGCCAGCCCGTATTGTAGTTACCTCATCTAAATGGAATCATGCAGTATTTGTCCTTCTGTGACTGGCTTATTTCAGTTAGCGTAATGTTCTCCAGGTTCATCCCTATGTGGCACATGGCAGGATTTCCTTTTTTTTATGGCTGATTCAATTTACATATATACCACATTTTCTTTATCCATGTATCCGTTGATGGACATTTACATTGTTTCTGTATCTTGGCTATTGTGAATAAGGATGCAGTGAGTATGGGAATGCAGGTATCGCTTCAACATCCTGATTTCAATTATTTTGGATACGTGCTCAGAAGTGGGATTGCTGGATCATATAGTATTTCTGTTTTTAATTTTTTTTTTTCTTTGAGATGGAGTCTCACTCTGTGGCCCAGGCTGGAGTGCAATGGCACGATCTCGGCTCACTGCAACCTCCGCCTCCTGGGTTCAAGCAATTCTCCTGCTTCAGCCTCCTGAGTAGCTGGGATTACAGGCACCTGCCACCATGCCTGGCTAATTTTTAGTTGTATTTTTAGTTGTGACGAGGTTTCACCACGTTGGCCAGGCTGGTCTCGAACTCCTGACCTCAGGTGATCCACCCACCTCGGCTTCCCAAAGTGCTGGGATTACAGGTGTGAGCCACCGTGCCCAGTGTAATTTTTTTTTGAGAAACCTCCATAAAGACAAGTAAACATAATGTAATATTCTAGGTGAGCTACTGGAACAGAAATTGGACATAAGGCAATTTATTCAGATACTAAGGAAATCTGAATAAAGTATGGACTTTAGTTAATGATAATGTATTGATATTGCTTCATTTGTTGTGACAAATGTAGCATAGGAATGTAAGATGCTTGACAATGGGGAAACTGGCTGCAGGATATAGGGCAATTCTCTGTACTATCTTTGGAATTTTTCTGTAAATCTAAAACTATTCTAAAATTAACAAGTTTATTTCAAACTTTTAAATGGCATACACCAAAATGTTAGCAGTGGTGAGATATGTGATTTTTATTATGTCTTCTAATATTATGTTGTTATGTATTACTTATAAAGTGAAATAATAAAGTGGATCAGTAAAGAAAAAATTACCTGATATGCTTTAATATTTTCTTTAGTATTTACTTAGCTGTTCATTGTTAAAATTGCTCACAAGTCATTAGGTATTAATAAGAGCTCAATGGCTGGGTGTGATCACTGACGCCTGTAATCTAGGTGGGTGGATCACTTGAGGTCAGTTCGAGACCAGCCTGGCCAACATGGTGAAACCTCGTCACAACTAAAATTACAACTAAAAATTAGCCAGGCGTGGTGGCAGTTGCCTGTAATCCCAGCTACTCAGGAGGCTGAGGCAGGAGAATTGCTTGAACCCGGGAGGTGGAAGTTGCAATGAGCCGAGATGGTGCCACTGCACTCCAGCCTGGGCGACAGAGCGAGACTCTGCCTCAAGGAAAAAAAAAAAAAAAAAAGGCCAGACGCGGTGGCTCACGCCTGTAATCCCAGCACTTTGGAAGGCCAAGACAGGCTGATCACCTGAGGTCAGGAGTTCAAGACCAGCCTGGCTAACGTGGTGAAACTTCGTCTCTACTAAAAATACAAAAATTAGTCCGGCGTGGTGCTGGGTTCCTGTGATCCCAGCTACTCAGGAGGCTGAGGCAGGAGAATTGCTTGAACCTAGGAGGTGGAGGTTGCAGTGAGCTGAGATCGTGCCACTGCACTCCAGCTTGGGCAAAAAAGTGAGACTCCGGCTCAAAAAAAAAAACCAAAAAAACAACAAAAAAAAACGGTCAAGTGGAATTCAAATTCCTAGTTTCCTAATCAAGGAAACCATAAATTGTCAAAACACTGATTTTCTTAATAAGACAGGCTATTGTAAATTGTTTTCAGAATTGCAGTATCATAGAACACTGCTACCTTGTGATGATTCATGGTATAGCAGATAAATCATGCTCAGATTCTTTTTTTTTTTTTTACTTTTTCTAAAAGATTTTTCTTATACTGGTATCTTCTAAGTAATAATTGTGACAAATGTATTTAGCCTGAACCAACATCAATTAAAAAAAACAAAAAACACCAGTAACTGGCTACTCTACAGAACTGACTGCAAAGGAGATGAGAATTCTCACCCAGGTAAACTCTTATATGAGTATGTGGAGGTTTATTCTTAGAATTATAACCATATGAAACGTATTTTGAATTTAGGAGTAAAATTTGAACATGAGATTATATAATAGTTGATACGTTTCTTTAGAAAATAATTTAACCCACAAACACGTCATTTGATGGTAGTTGGATCAGAGTTGGGAGCTGAGGGAAAAGCTAGAGAGTACAGCATACTAAAAAATGAATTGAACCGTGAATGTTCTGGTCCTTCAGTCACTGACTGAGTGTCAGGTCCACACACTTGGCATTGAGGCTTGGTAGGGAATTCAAGCATGAGATGGAAGTCTGGACTTGCTAAGGAAAGACCCTTTACCCTACAATTCTGGGATGGTGTCCAATCACAAATCAGTCCTTAAGTGGAGAGATGGGACAGCTAACTTCAAATACTGGAAGGGTTAACATGTAGGAGGGAAAAGTAAATCTTCTCTATGGCCCTATACGATTAGAAACACTTTTTTTTTTTTTTTTTTTTGAGACAGAGTCTTGCTCTGTCAGCCAGGCTGGAGTATAGTGGCACGATCTCAGCTCACTGCAACCTCTATCTCCCAGGCTCAAGCAATTCTCCTGCCTCAGCCTCCTGAGTAGCTGGGATTATAGGCGTGTGCCACCACACCTGGCTAATTATTGTATTTTTAGTAGAGACGGGGTTTCACCATGTTGGCCAGGCTGGTCTCGAACTCCTGACCTCAGGTGATCTGCCCGCCTCAGCCTCCCAAAGTGCTGGGATTACAGGCGTGAGCCACTGCGCCAGGCCAGAATCACTTTCAATTGCAAGTGGAAATGAAAATCAAAGGACTAAGCAAAAAAAGGAATTTTCTGACCCTTGTCATTGAAGAGACTGGGAATAGATACCTGCGTGGCTCTGTCCAGATGCTCCAGTGCTGACATCTGGAAACTATGTCAGTCCCTCCCAGCTCTGTGTTCTTCCTTGTTCCTTTTCAGGAAGGCTGTCCCTGTGCAGCAAAGCTGGCCCCCAGCCACTCTGGGCCTTCATGGTACTGCTAAGTGTCCCTAGCAGAAGGGGAGTTTGTCTTTCCCAGTAGCTTGGAATCATGTTGCCATCTGTGTAAGCCACGCTGAGACTCTGAGTGGCTCACATGCCCATCTCTGAAACTGAGCCACATAGCCAAGTGGGTCAGGGGTGTCTGCCCAAAGAAAACTGGGGGAAGGGCCAGGCACGGTGGCTCATGCTTCTAATCCCAGTACTATGGGAGGCCGAGAGGCGGGCAGATCATTTGAGATCAGGAGTTTGAGACCAGTCTGGCCAATATGGTGAGACCCCATCTCTACTAAAAACACAAAAATTAGCCGGGCGTAGTGGTGCGTGCCTGTGATCCCAGCTGCTTGGGAGGCTGAGGCAGAAGAATCGTTTGAACCAGGGAGACGGTGGCTGCAGTGGGCCGATATCGTGCCACTGCACTCCAGCCTGAGTGACAGAGTGAGACTCCATCTCAAAAACAAACAAACAAAAAACTGGGGGAATACCTGACAGGGCAGGTAGATGCTGGACGGGCAAAAATAAGAGGTCCACTACAGATCACAATGGGTAAAACTCGGGAACTGCAAAGTGACATATTACCATTCAATAGAAGGAGGGCAGTTTCAGCAATCAGACCCATCTCAAGCTGGGATTGGAGGAGGTAGTGAGTTCTGTCACAGGAGGTTCCAAGCAAACACTTGCACTTCTAAAGTTTCTAAGAATTCAAACTGCCGATGGACTCTATCTAAGGATTGATTTGTGGCTGGATGCCACATTGCTTCCCTCTGTCTCCACTGCTGTCCACTTCTCCAATACACCATCACAGCTTAACTGTGCAAACTGAATATGCCCCCTAACTTGTCTCACTGCCTGCCTCCCACTTGCCTCTCTACAATTCATTCTCCAGAGAGCAGGTGGAAGAAACAGTCATTTATTCATTCAATAAATATTTATTGTGCACCTGGTATATGCCGGGCACTGTTTCAGGGATAGATATATGAGCAACCAAGACAGACATAAATCTCTGCCTTCAGGGAGCTTACATTCCAGTGGGGGAAGCAGAAAATAAACAGAAAGTGGTAAAATATAGTATATATTAAGAAGAAAATTAAGCCAAGGGGTATGCATGAAGTGTCAGCAGTGGAGTAGTAGAGGGTGTCTAGAGAAGGCTTCACTGAGAAAGTGATGTTTTGAATAAAGACTAAAAGGAAGTGAAGAATCGAGCTATATGTTGAGTGCTACAATTTTTTGTTCAATGTGGTATCATTTAAGGCTGAATAGTCTTCCGTTATGTATTATGTATATCTTGTCATTTGCAACATGGATGAACCTGGAGGGCATTATGTTAAGTGATAATAAACCAGATATAGAAAGACAAATATCAGGCCAGGCGCAGTGGCTCAGACCTGTAATTCCAGCACTTTGAGAGGCCCAGGGAGGCGGATCACTTGAGGTCAGGAGTTCAAGACCAACCTAGCCAATATGGTGAAACCCCGTCTCTACTAAAAATACAAAAATCATCAGGGTGTGGTGATGAGCACCTGTAATCCCAGCTACTCAGAATGCTGAGGTTTGAGAATCACTTGAACCTGGGAGGTGGAGTTGGAGTTTGCAGTGAGCCAAGATTGCACCATTGCACTCCAGCCTGAGCAACAAAGTGAGGCTCCATCTCAAAAAAAAAAAAAAAAAAAAGACAATCACCACATTATCTCATTTATATGTGGAGTGTGAAAAAGTTAAACTCATAGAAATAGATAGTAAAATGGTGGTTACCAGAGGCTGGGGGGTGCGATGACTTGGGAGATGTTGGTCAAAGGATACAAAATTTCAGTTAGATAGGAGAATAAATTGAAGAGATTTATTGTTCATCATGGTGACTATAATTGATAACGCTATACCGTACACCTGAAAAGTACTGAAACAGTAGATTTTGTGTTCTCAGCACATACACAAAAGTGGTAAGTATGTGAGGTAATGCTTATGTTAAATAACTTGATTAAGCATTACACAATGTATACATGTATCAAAATATTATATGGTATAACACAAATATATACAATTTTTACTTATCAATTTTAAAAAATAATTTTTTGTTTTTTTACTTTTTTATATTTTATTTTTTTCTATTTTTTATTTTTTTGAAAAAAAAATTTAAAAATTTAAATGTAGTATAGTTTATTACCATCATTATTCTTTTTCATGTTCAGATTATTTCAAATTGAGCTAGTAGATACATCTTTAAACTTAGGAAGAAAAAAAGGTCAAATTTTAATTTTTTTCATATGGTTACTCATTATGTCATTTGTCAAATAGTTTGTATTTTTCCAAGTGCAAAATTTGAAGTAGTGTTAGAAAACAATATTTTTCTTTTTTTTTTTTTCCCCCAGAGATGGAGTTTTGCTCTTGTCCCCTAAGCTGGAGTACAATGGTACGATCTCGGCTCACTGCAATCTCTGCCTCCCAGCTTCAAGAGATTCTCCTGCTTCAGCCTCTCAAGTAGCTGGGATTACAGGCACCCACCACCATGCCCAGCTAATTTTTTTATTTGTAGTAGAGACAGGATTTCACCATGTTGGCCAGGCTGGTCTCAAACTCCTGATTTCAGGTGATCCACCCATCTCAGCCTCCCAAAGTGCTGGGATTACAGTCATGAGCCACCACACCCGGCCTGAAAACAATATTCTGACAGTACACCCTCAGTGGCATATAATCTAAGGACAAATTAAATTGAAAAGAAATCTTGAATTTAGGATAAAATGAGAAAGCCTAACATAGGTCTAAATAAATTCTAAGCAGCAGAAAGAATAAAGGAGAGACTATTTTTGCAAAATCATGGCTATTTTCTACAACTAGTTAAAGACATAAATCCACAGATCTAAGAAGCACAGATAATACCAAGCAGGGCAAGTAAGAAGATATTCACATCTAGACACAAAGTAGTAAAACTGTAGAGTGCCAGAACAAAGCAAACTTAAAAGTACCAGAGAGAAAAGAGAGATGACCTACAAAGGAGTGGCAATTAAACCACAGCAGACTTCTCAAAAGTAAAAATGGATGCTGGAAGATGAAATGAACATTTCTGTTCAAACGAAAATTTCCCCTCATGGTACTGAGAAGTAATAACTCTCAAACTACTAGAATTGTACCTAAGAAAACCATGTTGCAAGAGCAAGGACAAATAGAGATTTTTTAAAAATAAAAACAAAGCCGGGCACAGTGGCTCATGTCTGTAATCCCAGCACTTTGGGAGGCTGAGGTGGGTGGATCATGAGGTCAGGAGATCGAGACCATCCTGGCTAACAAAGTGAAACCCCGTCTCTACTAAAAATACAAAAATTTAGCTGGGCGTGGTGGCGGGCACCTGTAGTCCCAGCTACTCGGGAGGCTGAGGCAGGAGAATGGCGTGAACCCAGGAGACCGAGCTTGCAGTGACCCGAGATCGTACCATTGCACTCCAGCCTGGGTGACACAGCAAGACCCCGTCAAAAAAAATAAATTAAAACAAAAACAAAAAGCAAGTGCAACATTTTACCACGAACAGACCTACTGTAAAGGAACTTCTAAAGGCTATACTTTAGGATGAAGGAAGGTAATCCCAGGAGGAAGGTCTGAGGTACAGAAAGATAAGATGAGCAAAGACATCATCACATGTATCAATGTACAAATACTCTGAATGTAAAATAACAGACCAATCTATAGGGTTATAAATATAAACTAAAATATTAGATGACATTAGCACATAAATTGAATGGGTAATCTGAATTAAAGAATTATAAAGTCCTTGTAGTGCTCAGTGGCTTGGTGAAATAGGATCTTTAACCTTTGCTGGGTGTGCATGATACATTTTAAGACTACCTTGGACTTTCCTTGCCCCAGTCATGGAATCAGCCACTTCTCCAAGGAGTTCTGTTTCCTTTAAGTAAATAATAGTATTACAAAACCGGGACTTGGGTGTTAATCTGTTCACTGTTACTGTAGTGTCATTGTTTCTAGATCCTTTCAGTGAACAGAGCTAGGAAGCACTTTTTAGTAAGTCATGTGTTAATCTTGCTACCTCCAAGTCAAAACTGACACCACAGATTCTTCCTCTTCTTTCTCCATTCTACATCTTTATCTCTCTTCTCCCAAATAAGAACTCTGATTTTCAACAGTATCAATATTTGCTTGATTCTACCATATAGATAAATTTTACTAGAACTGCAGCTGGCCAGGCATGGTGGCTCATGCCTGTAATCCCAGCACTTTGGGAGGCCGAGGTGGGTGGATCAGCTGAGGTCAGGAGTTCAAGATCAACCTGACCAATATGGTGAAACCCCATCTCTACTAAAAATACAAAAATTAGATGGGCACGGTGGTGTGTGCCTGTAGTCCCAGCTACTCGGGAGGCTGAGGCAGGAGAATTGCTTGAACTCGGGAGGTGGAGGTTGCAGAGAGCCGAGATCACACCACTGCACTCCAGCCTGGGCGACAGAGTGAAACCCCATCTCAAACAAAAAAAAGAACTACTGTAGCAATGCATTATCAACAACAAATCTACTTCTTAGAATTTATTTAGACCCATGTTAGACTTTATTTTATCCATCGTATCTCTTAATTTCTCATTAGTATTTCTCATCTTCTTATCTTTTATATGCTATATTCTAGGTACTTTCTGCAGATTTTGTGCCAATTCCCTAATTCTTTCTTTTGTTCTAATATAACATGTAACTCATTTTTAAAGTTTCAATAGTTACGTTTCTTTCTAACAGTTTATTTAATTCTTTTTCTAATATTCCTGATTGATTTCTGTTCATTTTTGCTATTCCTTCTTCTATTTCTGTATATATTTCATACATAGCTATTTTGTATTCAAGCTGATTTTTCCAATTTCAGAAATCCTGGAAAGTCTGAATAATTGTTGCTTTTTCTAGATTCTCATTTGACGGTGTTCATTCCTCTGTGGTCATGAGCTCATATTTTTTGAAAAACCTAGAGGCCTAAGTTGAGGATGCCTTCTTCAGAGATGATTGTGTTTGTTTCCTTTGGGATCCAGATGATGCTCCTGACCTGGGACCACTTTGACCCCTTCTAAGCTCCCCTGGTTGATTTTCTAGTCCCTGGTCCAGCTCAGCCCTATTGCCACGGGTCCAAGGCTTCGTCAGCTGGTTGAAATGCTGAAATGGGATTTGCCTTTGGGCCACCTTTGCCTTTCAGGTACGTTCACTGCTCTGCTCAGATATTAGGTACTTTTTAGAAGGGGTTAGGAGTGCTTGGAGAATTTTTATTCTTCTATTGTGAAACGTGACAAAAAATATGTTTTGTGCATGCTCTACTTGTTTTAAAACAGAAGAGTTCTTCAGAAGGAATAAATGCTGTTTGTCCTCTTTTTGTTTTCTCTCTCTTTCCTTCCTTCCTTTCTCTTTCTCTTTCTTTTGGGAAACCTACCTTTCCTCATTCTGAAATATCATTTTTCTGAGGGATCTCCTACTACTTCCCTGACTTTTCTTTTTTCAGTCTGTCTCTTCCTCACCCCTACTCTTTCTTTCTCCACTCTTTAGAGGATGGAGTTTTCCAGAATCCCATCCCTTCTTTCTTCTTACTGTTTATTTCATCTATATCCATGATTTCATCCACAGTATCCCAACATATCTGTATTTCTAGCTCTAAAAGAACCCTAAGTTGCAAATCTATATTACAAACTCCCTTCTTGTAATCTGCATAAGGATTTTTCTCAATTCAAAAATTTCAAAACTGGGCTTGTTATCTCTCACATCCTCCATCCCTAAATCAGCTCCTCCTCTATTATTTTCCAACTTGGTCATGGATACCACTATCCACCAGTCATCTAAGCCTGATGGTCCTGCCGATTTTAACTCCTAAACATCCCTTGAATTCTGTCTTTCTCTGTCCTATTTCCATCATCACTGCTAGAGTTGGATCCTTATCATTTCTTCCCAGTCAGTTGGGAGAAAGACTCCCAATCTTTCTCTTGCCTCCAGACTTGCAGCTCAAATCCACCCTACCCACTGCTCCTCTTGGGATCTTTCTGAAATGCAAATGTGAACATGTCACTCTTCTGTGGGAGATTCTTCACTGGTCTTCCTCATTGACACATGTTAAAGCTTAGGCTTCATAACTGGGTATATAAAGCTGCTATGACCTATCTAACTTATGCTTTTTACTTTGCCTGCCTACTTCACTTATTTATTGGAGAGCAATGAATCTTTTATTTATTATTATTATTATTGAGACGGAGTTTTGCTTTTGCTGCCCAGGCTGGAGTGCAATGGTGTGATCTCAGCTCACTGCAACCTCCGCCTCCTGGGTTCAAGCTATTCTCCTACCTCAGCCTCCCAAGTAGCTGGGATTACAGGCATGCGCCACCACGCCTGGCTAATTTTTTGTAGTTTTAGCATTTTAGTAGAGATGGGGTTTCTCCAGGTTGGTCAGACTGGTCTCAAACTCCCGACCTCAGGTGATCCGCCCACCTCGGCCTCCCAAAGTGCTGGGATTACAGGCATGAGCCACCGCGCCTGGCCATTTATTATTATTATTATTTTGAGACAGAGTCTTGCTCAGTCACCCAGGCTGGAGTGCAGTGGCACGTTCTCCGCTCACTGCAACCTCTGCCTCCTGGGTTCAAGTGATTCTCCTGCCTCAGCCTCCCGAGTAGCTGGGATTACAGGCATGTGCCACCACACCCAGATATTTTTTGTATTTTTAGTAGAGATGGGGTTTCACCATGTTGGCCAGGCTGGTCTTGAACTCCTGACCTCAGGTGAGCCACTCACCTGGGCCTCCCAAAGTGCTGGGATTACAGGCATGAGCCACTGAGCCCCGTCTGTTTTTAAATGTTTATTTCAATAGCTCTTGGGGTACAAGTGGTTTTTTGTTACATAGATGAATTATATAGTGGTGAATTCTGAGATTTTAGTGCACCCATCATCTGAGTAGTGTATATGGTACCTAGTGCATAGTTTTTTTTATCCCTAGGCTCTCTCCCATCCTCCCCTTTCTGAGTCTCCAAAGTCCATTATTTCACTGTGTATGCCTTTGCATACTCATAGCTTGGCTTTTGCTTATAAGTGAGAACATACAGTTTTTGGTTTTCCACGCCTGTATTACTTTGCGTAGAATAAGGACCTCCCACTCTTCCAAGTTGTTGCAAAAGACATTATTTCATTCTTTTTTTGTGACTGAGTAGCAGCCTATGGTGTATATATACCACATTTTCTTTATCCACTCATTAGTCAATGGGCACTTAGATTGGTTCCACATCTTTGCAATTGTGAATTGTGCTGCCATAAACATACGCGTGAAAGCCTACTTCACTTTAAGCTGTGAGGGCCACAGGCATGTCTGTCGTGTCTACCTTGGCGCTATTCTTGGTCCCAAGCCCACATCCTGACACCTAATAATTACTAACTTGCCGCACCACTGCTTCATCACTTATGTTTCTGTTTCGTAGACCCTTTTTGCCAGCCAATCTGAACTATTTGCAGTAACACAAGTGTGCCTTCCTCTCTAAATTCTAGACTAGTTACAATTTACCCATTTATTCACACATTCAGTCATTTTTCTTGGAATTACCACTATCTAACTCTGTGGCTGATACTAGGCAGGTTCTCTGAATGAATAAATGGAAACAAACTTAGAAGGGCAGCTCAAGAGGTAATACATACCCAAGGAATTGACCAATTTAAGGAACTGCATACAAGAACAGTTTTTCCCCAGGCACAAGTAAACAAGTGCAAGTATGAGGCAAACAGACTTCCTTCTCTTGCTCTGCCCGGTCTGGGAACCATATTTTAATTAATCAAGACTTTGTAGAATGAATCGGAACAAAACCAAAACAAAATAAAGGGCAAACAAACCAACTTCTGACAAAGACCTGACTGAAAAGGTAATCAACTCCCCTAAACCCCAAGTCTAAATGGCACACTTGCTGCAGCTCAGCCGACAGTCCCCCGGCTCCATGAAGCCCCGCCCCGGGGAAGGCGGGGCCTGCGGGAATTGGCGGGGATTTCCCGCGAGGCCACGCCCTCTCTGGGCCGGCCGTAGGCCCGCCTGCTGCCCCCGCCGTTTCCTAGGAGATGAAACACACAAGACGCCGGAGCTTCACAAGGGAGCGAACGAGGTAAGCAGCAGGCGCGGACAGGTAATCCCCAGCGGGCTGCAGGGCCACCACCCTCTGTCCGACCCAGCCGGAGCCCGACCTGCGAGGCTGGCCGGGCATGTCCCCTCGGCGCCCTGTGCTACCAGGGCCAATCTCCGCCCGGAGACCGGTCCCTGACGCCGGTAGGGGAAGGACTGGAGGGAGGAGGGTCCCCGGAGGGGCGGAGCGGGCGGGAGTGGTCAGCCCGAGGGAAGGCGGTCGGTGTCTCCCAGACCTCTTGACCACTTTCCCGCCTCCTGGACCGCGGGGGCCGGCCTGGCGTGGGAGGATGACGGCCGGGCGTCCCTTAGCCTGAGACCCCCGCCCCTAAACTCTCCTCCGGGATCTCCCACCTCTGCTCCCCTGCTGCTTGGGCTGGCGGTGGAAACTGTTTTTAGGACAGAGAGGCAGGATTGGGTCTCAGGGAGGCAGCGGAACTGAGTTCAGAACTGTTGCAAAATCTAAAAGGAGGGAGAAAAACAGGAATTAGGTCCGACTCCAGCCCTCGCTGGTGCATCCCAAAGGACGCTCAGGTGAAAGTGGAATTCCGCACACCCCCGTCCCCCCCAACGGCGCCGGACTCCCGGCGCCCGGGGACGCCCCCTCCTTCCACCACGCGGTCCCTGGAGCCTTTTAAGAGCCCTGGTTTGCAGAGTCGGATCAGAAAGTGTGTGACGAAAACTGTCCCTTTTCTGCAAGTAATCCGTTTTAATTTAGGGACAGGTCGAGAGTGCGGTGTCGAGAGCAATAAAACTGGTTTTTAGTGGTTAGTAATCTCAATCCTACAAGGAAAGAGCTGTATGCAAATGTGGTTAGATAATCGTTTAAAAGAAACAGACATTTGTTCTAATGATAACGGAATTCTCAAAGAGGGAAGCCAAAGTTATCTGACTTTATTTATTCAGAAACACAACCCATTAAGTGAAATAATGGTGAAAACAAAAGTGACTTTCCAGCTTTTCGATCGGGCCCCGCCTCCCCGGCCCTTCAATTCCCGAGGCTTGACCGGGAGGGAGAAAGTTCCCCCAACCGCGCCACCGCCTGCTTCCACTGCAGGCACCGGGCAGGACGTTTAATCTCTTCGTCGGGGTGGACTTTTTTTGTGTATAAGCTTTGAAATAATTTGTGAATATGAGCACAGAGAACTGTGCTTTTATATTTTAAGATACAGTCTTTGTTTTCCCATTGTAATAGCTCATTTAATTTCTGTAAAACTTCGACTTGGTTAGTTTGGGATCTTTTTTTCCTGCGTTGCTTTTTAAAGAGTTTGGTGACTTTTAAAACGTTAATTACTCTTTTGTTGTGTATTAGAAGCGTTAAGCCAGCCTCGGAGTGACATAATATGTTCTAGAAAGCCACGTTGAAGACATCCAAGCCTTATCTCTTCAGTTTTTGGCAGACGCTTGTTTTACCCTTCATTTGCCCTCTTTGCTAATCTTCTTTAATCCTATCTGAATCTCTTATTAGCTGGCAAAAGCTGTTGAGAGTAAAGGCTATATTTACAACAATTGTGCACTTAGAGAAACGGTAATTATGAACTTAGATTAAAAAGTTGAAAACTAGAATGAGAGATAAATTATAAGGGTATTTATTTTTGTGTAGGTCTATAATTAAGCCTCTAAATAAGCATCTTTTTCTTTAACCCATAGGAAGGTCAATAAATGTTATAGCTTGATTGTAGAAAATTCCAAGTTTTTAACAATTCTGTTAAATTGAGGATGATAGTTATATTTACTTGGGTTTTTTGTTGCATATGTATCATATCTATATATATTCATGTACATAAGAAACTGTGTTAATATATTCCTATTTTGTAGATTAGTTTTCCATAGGTCAACAGAGAAGAATATATGTAACTTGTAGAGAAATATTATTGTGCGTGAACTGGAGAACCATGGGAAGCCTGTGTTTAAGGAACATAGACTGCTTTTTGATTAGTAATCAGTAGTTGCTATGCCACATTGATAAAAGTAGTTGCTTATGTGCTATCAGGGAGCAGGGACATGGAATAATGATTTTTTAAAAGCTTTACCTTGATGTCTATGTCTCTACATTAGACAATTGTATGTTCAGGGGATAGAAGGAACAGTTGCAATGATCAGCGTCTCACCCTGGGCAGCTGTTGATTTTGTAATTAATGTAGTTCAAAAGAAGCCTTTCCAAAGTTTTTTCTTAGGGAGCGCAGTATGTAAAGTTGTTTTACTTAAAGGTTAGGTAGGGCTTAAATGGGACAGATCCTCACAGAACCACTAATCTGACCTTTTAAAAATCTATGTCACGTCCGTAATCCTCAACACTCCACCCCTCAAACAGAAAGGAGCTGGGAAATGGTCGTGTTCCTTGCTTATTCTTCCCTCAATATAAGTACACCCTATCCTATAGCCATCATCCGTTGAAAGACAATTGGTGTTGCCGGTGTTTATTCAGAAGTTGATTGGTTAGGCTTGGAATGAAGTTGCCAAAATAGCCACTCGCAAAGAGACTGTGCACGCAGGCTTGGGTCGAAAGTCATCAGTGACTGAATGCTCTATTGTGCTGATAGTGCTGGTGCAGCTTCAGGTCACCCTCCCACCCCAGGGCGGTGGTGATGGGGGTGGCTGATGGCCTTAATAGTGGAAGAGAGAGGTGTAATTAATTCTTAATTTTTAGATTGTTGGGCCAATGAAGGTGATTTTTTTGTCACTCTTTGTGTTTCCACTTCCTGAATAACACTCGCTACCATCATTACCATGCAACCAGAGGCAGCTCCCTCTTCCATTCCCTTCTCAAGTCATATGTCCTTTTTCAGAATTGTCTGCATTACTTTTCTACCTTTTAGACCCTCAAATGCTTGTCCTTGGTTAGGTGTTAACATGAAAATAATTTGGTTAAAAGAAAAGATGATGCTATCATACCATTATGTTTCTGAATTAAATAATTTTCATGGCTGGGCGCAGTGGCTCACGCCTATAAACCCCAGCACTTTGGGAGGCCGAGGCAGGTGGATCACATGAGGTCAGGAGTTCAAGACCAGCCTGGCCAACGTGGTAAAACCCTGTCTCTACTAAAAATACAGAAATTAGCCGGGCATGGTGGCACGCGCCTGTAATCCCAGCTACTCAGGAGGCTGAGGCAGGAGAGTCCCTTGAACCTGGGAGGCGGAGGTTGCAGTGAGCAGAGATAACGCCACCACACTCCAGCCTGGGCATCCGAGCTGTAGGAGATTGGTCAGGGTGGTGGGAAAAATCGTAGAAAGATGCAAACCTTCTTGGAAGGCCAGGGGTTTGCAAAGCTTCAAAAGAAAATTTGGCTGAAGGCAGCTGAATTCTCTTAAGAGCTTAGGTTAGATAACAAGGGGATGTAAAGAAACTAATCTAGATAAGTTAGTTTACTTAGGCCTCAGAACCTGGCCTTTAATCATCCAGACGCAGGACTGCGTGGGGCGGGGGAGCGGTGCGACCATGTTAATTACCCACAAGTGTGTTAACTCAAAGCCTTTGTCATTAAATCTGTGCTGAATAAATGCCCACAGCGCCAGCTGAGCAGGGCCACGGTTTACAGCACCCTCCTGGGGTCTGTGTGCTGCCCGGTCCCCTAGCCCGCTCTTTCACTGGATACCTGTGTCTGAGTGCATTCTTTGATCTGTCATTCAGCCAGGGTCTGCGGGTCGGACCTGGCACAGAGTGAGACTCTGTCTCAAACAATAATAATAATAATAATAATAATTTTCATGAGAGGAGCACCACCTAGATTCTTTCTCCCTTAACCATTCAAGTTCTAAGGTCTCACTCTTTCCCTTCACTGTTTCTGTTATTTTTCACTGGTCTGAATGACCCAGATGTAGCATTAGGGTTTAGTCAGGATATGGAGTAGTCCCACTTCACTTTCCAGGTAGTCAGCAATATCTTAGTGTTTGAGTGAAGAGCTGCATTAGGAATCTTAAGGTGGAGGTTGGGGTAGGTGGCTTGAGTTGTGGAGCTTAGTCTGTGTGGTTTTGGAGCAAAGAGGATGATTTCTTTAGCCTCATTAGGGATAGTAAGAGCTGGCACCAGTTCATAAGAATGGCTTGTTTAGAAGTTGGAGACGACCCTGAAAAACCAACAACATCAAGCCAAATGCAACTATTGGATTGACTCCATCGTTGATTCTCTAGTTGATCCTAGACAGGTCATTTAATCCTTCCATGTTTTTATTTTATGATCTTACTGTCATAAGGAACATGATGGCCTTTTGTGCAAATATATTCTCTTTATGCTTACTTAATCAGAAAGAATCAGTAAACCTAGAGATCACATATTTCCTAAAAGAGATAGATATATGTCACCTTAAATAGGCTAGCTAGAAAAGAGTGTACAGCAATTGAATATGCTGGTGATAAATTGCAAAATACTGATTTAATAAAATCCTAAATGAGAAGAAATATATTTTAGTCCATGTTTTGTTTAACGTAGTACAAAACAAAACAACCCAAAAGATTTTTCCAAATTATATTTGCTTATACAGATAAAGGCAAAATGAAGAAAAGCAAATTCATGTTTTGATTAGGAACCGTGCAGAGAGAGAGACTGCCTTTCTCTATATTAACACCTTAATATTTGGAATCAGTGTCTATGAATAAGGTGACAATGACTTACAAAACTATTCTTTTTCAGGCAAATGGGGAACCATTTGCTGGTACTTATGATTATTAGCTCGGGCTTAATCTGACAAAAAGGAAGAAACCCCTAAATAGAGATGGAATCTGCTGTCATGTTCTCTTTTTCAAGATCCTGGCCATGGAGTTAGCTAGCCTAAATTATTTTATATGTGCCTTTGAAGGGATTGTTACCTACATGAAGTAAGATAAATGTTAAATACGTACTCCCTATTATTATTATTATTATTATTATTATTATTATTTTGAGACAGAGTCTCGCACTGTTGCCCAGGTGGGAGTGCAGTGGTGCAATCTTGGCTCACTGCAACCTCCGCCTCCCAGGTTCAAGTGATTCTCCTACCTCAGCCTCCTTAGTAACTAGGGCTACAGGCCTGCGCCACCACACCCAGCTAATTTCTGTATTTTTAGTAGAGATGAAGTTTCACCACGTTGGTCAGGCTGGTCTCAAACACCTGACCTCAGGTGATCCACCCGTCTTGGCCTCCCAAAGCGTTGGGATTACAGGGATGAGCCAGGGCGCCCAGCCCACACTCCGTATTATTAAAAGCCCCACAGGATTCTTCTCAAGTTTTCTGTGAACAGATACGTTCCTGTAAATAGGAAACAACATAACTTTACTGTGCTGCTCTGCACGTTTATGTCTGCTCATGTTTATGTTTCTTTTCCCGGAAAGGCTGTTTTGGGAAATCTTAAGTATTTTGACAACTATAACGTGCCCTTGTTGGTCTTAAATTCCTGCAAATAATAGAGGAGCAATTTCTATGATTTAAATGAAAGTGCTCCAGTGAGAGAAAAATATTCTTTGAATGAAGAACTAAGTCATAAAAGGTACTTTAAAACAAACTACATACACACCTCGGAGATACTGTGGGTTTAGCTCCAGACCACGGCAATAAAGTGAATATTGCAATAAAGCAAGTCACACATGTTTTTGGGTTTAAAGTACATATGCAAATTATGTTTACATTATACTGTAGTCTATTTAGTATACAATAGCATTTTGTCTAGAAAAAATAACATACATACCTTAATTTAAAAATATCTTATTGTGGCCGGGAGCAGTAGCTCACACCTGTAATCCCAACACATCGGGAGGTGGAGGCAGGTGGATCACTTGAGGTCAGGAGTTTGAGACCAGCCTGTCCAACGTGGTGAAACCCTGTTTCTACTAAAATTACAAAAAATAGCTGGGTGTAGTAGCTTGCGCCTATAGTCCCAGCTACATGGGAGGCTGTCAAAAAAAAAAATCTTATTGCTAAAAAATGCTGATTATCTGAGCCTTCAGTGAGTCATAGTCTTTTTGCTGGTGGAGGGCTTTGCCTCTGTGTTGATGGCTGCTGACCGATCAGGGTGGTGGCTGCTGAAGGTTGAGATGGCTGTAACCATTTCTCAAAATGAGACAACAATGGTATTTGCTACATTGACAGACTTTTCATAAAAGATTTCTCTGTAATATGTGAGACTGTTTGATAGCATTTTACTTACAGTAGAACTTCTTTCAAAATTGAAGTCAGTCTTCTCACATCCTGCCACTGCTTTGTCAACTCAGTTTATGTAATATTCTAAATCCTTTGTTCTTGACTGGGCACTGGTTCATGCCTGTAATCCCGCCGAGGCGGGCGGATCGCTGAGGCCAGGAGTTCGAGACCAGCTTGGCCAACATGGTGAAACCCCATCTCTACTAAAAATACAAAAATTAGCCAGGTGTGGTGGTGCGCACCTGTAATCCCAGCTACTGGGGGTCGGGGTGGGCACCTGTAATCCCAGCTACTGGGGGAGTGATGGTGACAGGGGTGAGGACTCAGGGACAAAAATCACTTGAACCTGGGAGGCGGAGGTTACAGTGAGCCAAGATTGTGCCACTGCACTCCAACCAGAGTCTCACTCTGTCTCAAAAAAAGAAAAAAATTCTTTTTTGTCTTTTCAGCAGTGTTAATAGCATCTCTACCAGAAGTAGATTCCATCTCAATAAAACAGTTTCTTTGTTCATCCATAAGAAACACTTCCTCATTCATTCAAGTTTGATTATGAGGTTACAACATTTCAGTCACATCTTCAGGCTCTACTTCCCTTTTTATTTATTAAAAAATTTTTTTTTCTTTAGAGACAGAGTCTTACTCTGTCACCCAGGATGGAGTTTAGTGGTGTGATCATAGCTCACTGTAACCTTGAACTCCTGGGCTCAAGCAATCCTCGTGCCTCAGCCTCCCAAGTAGCTGGGACTACAAGCGTGCCATCAAGTCCAGCTAGTTTTTTAGTTTTTGTAAAGAAGGGCATGATATGGTGCCCAGGCTGGTCTTGAACTCCTGGCCTCTACAATCCTCCTGCCTTGGCCTCTCAAATCACTGGGATTACAGGCATCAGCCACCACGCCCGGCTATGTTTCTTATTTCTTTGTATGAACCTAGTGTGACACTAAATCCTAATTAGTATTTACATTTTTCTTAGTTTGATGTAAAATAAAGTAGCATGTTATTTAAATAGAATATGAAATTTTAAAATAATGCTATTCCTTTCATATGAAACAAAAGTTTGCTTTATACTTACCTTACCCAATTGGGGTACTTATATTCCACAGAAAATTTACAAGTAGTACAGTTTTAAACAATATGCCAAATTAAATATGATACAAAAATTGATTCAAAGAATGGATATCATATAGACATCAATTTTCCAAGGTCTGATTTGGAATAATGTAGATTATATTTAGTAAAAAAGGAATCATACAAGCCATTATGCCATTATTGAACATAAATAGCACAGTACCATGTAAATGAGGCATTTACCAAGTGAGTATTACCAGTGAGTTATATGTGAACTTCATTTTACATAGACAAATGACTTACTGACAAATATTTAACACAATAGTATTTATATTATTTATAATTTTCCCTTTGCTCTAAGTTGCCAGTACAATTTTTGAAGAGACTTGTTAATGAAAATTCATGATATCCTTGTTTTCTTTCTTTAGGGTGTTTATAAGAATGGAAGTGTTGTTTCCTTGCCCGATTCCTTCATGCTATATCTCATGAACCTCTGTAATCTTGGGGGAGAGACTATATTTAATGATGACAAACCTGTCACCAGTGTAGCAACAACAGTGTGAGGACAAAAGCAAATAAAAATTAAGAAGCGTTCAAATTTATATTCAACAAGGAAGTCATTTCAATCAACAACTTCTGCTGCATTATTTTTCCAAGATGAACCGATACACAACCATGAGACAGTTGGGGGACGGCACGTATGGGAGTGTGCTTATGGGCAAGAGTAATGAATCCGGGGAGCTGGTGGCCATCAAAAGGTACTGTGTGTGACACTGCCAACTTCACCTTTGAAAACTCTGCTCTTTATTTTCCTGTCCTCGCTTAAGAATATATACCAGCACAGGCCAGCGCGGTGGCTCATGCCTGTAATCCCAGCACTTTGGGAGGCCGAGGCGGGCGGATCATGAGGTTAGGAGTTTGAGACCAGCCTGGCCAACATGGTGAAACCCTGTCTCTACTAAAAATACAAAACTTAGCCAGGCATGGTGGCACGCGCCTGTAATCCCAGCTACTCAGGAGGCCGAGGCAGGAGAATTGCTTGAACCCAGGAGGTGGAAGTTGCAGTGAGCTGAGATCGCGCCACCGCACTCCAGCCTGGGTGATACAGTGAGACTCCGTCTAAAAATATATATATATACGTGCACACGCACACACACACACACACACACACACACACACACGTGCACACAGGCTGTGTGCGGTGGCTCATGCCTGCAATCCCAGCACTTTGGGTTGAGGTCAGGAGTTTGAGACCAGCTTGGCCAACATGGTGAAACCCTGTCTCTACTAAAAATACAAAAATTAGCCAGGCATGGTGGTGCACACATGTAATCCCAGCTACTCAGGAGGCTGAGGCACGAGAATCGCTTCAACCTGGGAGGCAGAGGTTGCAGTGAGCTGAGATTGCACCACTGCACTCCAGCCTGGGTGACAGAAGGAGACTCCATCTCAAAAAAAAAAAGAATATATACGAGCACAGAAAGAGGTCTAGTTTAGATCAAATAGCATCTGGCTCATGTGGAATGTCATTCTTGGAAAAGAACATTGCCAAAGAGGAATTCTGCTGTTTTTCTTCTATATTACTTTAACTGTCTGGCTTGTCCAGCTACACTGATAAACCAAAAAATATGAGTGCCTCCTTTTTTATATGTATAATACATTTGGACCAAAACTACAGGTGATCTTTGGAATGTTCTTCCAAATTTATTTGTTGGTTTTCGTTTTTGTTTGTGTTTTTTGAGATGGGGGTCTCACTCTGTTGCCCAGGCTGGCGTGCAGTGGTGTGATCATGGCTCACTGCAGTCCTGACTTCCCAGGCTCAAGCAAGCTACCCACCTTGGCCTCCCAAAGTGCTGGAATTACAGGTGTGAGCCACCATTCCTGACCTGTTTTTCACATTTAAAGTTGAGTGCAGAGTAGGGCTTATTATTTCTTTAAAACAAGGTCTCAAAATCAGATGGTATTCATAATGTCAAATTGAGTTCTGAATGATATATGTTATATTCCTGAACTTATGAAATAGAATTGTTGTTAATTTGTTTGTTTTTAATCCACTGTGTTTATCTATTGCTGCATAACAAAATACCTGCAAAGCTTAGTGATTTAAAATAAGAAGAAACATTTATTAATTCACATAGTTTCTGTGGGTCAGGAATTTAGAAGTAGCTTAGCTGGGTAGTTCTGGCTTGGGTTCTCTGATGGCAGTCAGATAATTGGCCGAAGTTTCAGTCATCCGAAGGCTTGACTGGGACTGCAGGATCTACTTCCAAGGTGGCTCACTCTTGGTTTGCTAGGGCTGCTGTAACAAAGTATCACAGACTGGTTGGCTTAAACAACAGAGATTTATTTCCTCACAGTTCTGGAGGCAAGAAGTGCAACATCAAGGTATCTGCTGGTTGTTTCTTCTGAGGCCTCTCTCCTTGGCTTGTAGACAGCCATATCCTCTCTAGGTCTTTATATGATCTTCTCGTTGTGCATGTCTGTGTCCACATTTCCCCCCTCTTTTTTTTCAAGACAGGGTTCCATTCTGTCGCCCAGGCTGAGGTACGGTGGTACAAACATAGCTCACTATAGCCTCAGCCTCCTGGGCTTGAACCATCCTCCTGCCTCAGCCTCCAGAGTAGTTGGGACTGTAGGCGTGTACCACAACATGTGGCTAATTTTTAAAAAATTTTTTTGGAGTGATGGGGTCTTGCCATGTTGCCCAGGCTCCTCTTATAAGGACACCAGTCATATCAGATTTGGGCCTACCTGAAAGACCTCACTTAAACTTAATTACCTTTTTAAAGACCCTATCTTCAGATACTGTCACACCGTGAAAGTCTGGGGGCTAGGACTTCAATATAGGAGTTTTGGGGGACACAGTTGAACCCATCACACTCACTCACAGGGTTGGCATATTTGTACTGGCTGTTGGCAAGAGGCACCTCAATTCCCTTTTACAGAGGCTCCTTCCTTGGGCCTTTCCAGAGGGTTGTTTGAATAGCCTCGGGACATGGCAGTTGACTTCCACCAGAACCAGTCCCGTACTCATGGGATACGCATCTCCACATTACCACATCAACCAAATTATGACAAACTAAAATTTAAATACTTTAGCAAATGTTTTAAAATATTATGATCTAAACCATTACATGTACAAGGAAATAACTTCATAAAATATTTTTAAATAGTCATTATCATCAGATAAGTAAATATATAATATACAATAATGGAAATGAAAAATAAATTGAATAGGCTTAATAAAATTCAGTGCTCATTTGTGATTTGATGAACTAAAAAAAACAAACATTGATTTCTTAAAAAACTTATGATAAAGCCTCTTGGCTGAATGCAGTGGCTCACACCTATAATCCCAGCACTTTGGGAGGGCAAGGCAGGAGGATCGCTTGATCCCAGGAGTTTGAGACCAGCTTGGCAACATGGTGAAACCCCACCTCTACAGAAAATACAAAAATTAATTGGGCATCGTGGTGCTCACCTATAGTCCCAGCCACTCGGGAGGCTGAGGTGGGAGGATTGCTTGAGCCCAGGAGGTCGAGGCTGCAGTGAGCCAAGATAGTGCCACCACTACTGTACTTCAGCTTAGGTGACCTAGTGAGACCCTATCTAAAAACAAAAACAAAAGTAAAACAAAACAAAAACTTAGCAAATAGGAATAAAAAGAAACTTCCCTAACCTACATAATTCATATTAATGTGAATTAGTACGAAAACCTATATAATTCATATTAATGTGAAATATCAGAAGTAATATCAGTACAAATTGTTTGAAAACCCCAAATGCCTGCTAGCAGTCCTGCTGATTAGGATTGCATTGGGGATACTTACTACTGCTATAAGACAGAAACCTAAGAAATGAGTGTTATTAGACAAAATGAGCTGAAATAGCCCACATTTGTAGATTAAATGATTATGTAAATTCACACAAAGAAATACTTTATTATATACAAATACATCCATATACAAAAATATTTTTAAAGGCCTGGAAAGATACACCCAAAATCCATGATAGCCATGGGTTCTGGGGAGGAGGGTAGGCGAATCAGAAGGGGTGTTGGGTCTTGGGTACAGTCCCACAGATGGTTATTACTGTCTGGTTTTATATGACAAAATGTCCATCATTTTTTTCTGAGTGGCAAAAATATGGTATTTGTTTTATCCTTCAAAAATATGGTATTTGTTTTGTTTTGTTTTGAGATGGATTCTTGCTCTGTTGCCAGGCTGGAGTGCAGTGGCGCGATCTCAGCTCACCACAACCTCTGCCTCCTGGGTTCAAGCGATTCTTCTGCTTCAGCCTCCCGAGTAGCTGGGATTACAGGCATGTACCACCACGCCTGGCTAATTTTGCATTTTTAGTAGAGACGGGGTTTCTCCATGTTGGTCAGGCTGGTCTCGAACTCCCGACCTCAGGTGATCCACCAGTCTCAGCCTCCCAAAGTGCTGGGATTACAGGCGTGAGCCACCGTGCCCGGCCTACTGTACTCTTTTAATTGGGAAAGCAAAAGCTTTCTCACATCCCATCCAGAATGCATAGGGTTTCTTCTCGTTGATCAGAAGTGTACCACATGGCACCCCTAGCTGCAGGGAGGCTGGGAAACTGATTACTTAGCTGAGCATTTTATATTCCTGTGTAAAAGCTGACTCTGTGAATGAAGAGGTAGAGAAGGAGGGCTTTCAGCTACTCAGCTTACCGTGTGTCTGCCACATGCAGTATCTACTGTGTGTTGGGCAGTGCTCCACCTTAGGCAAAGATGGAGCAAAAATGAATGAGAAGAGGAGTCCCATGGAAGACTTGAAGAAAATTGAAAAATTCATTTAGCACAAAATTGTTAAACTCCTGTTGTATTTCATGATCGGGACAAAATAGATGTCTTACAATATACTCAGGAAGACCAACAGATTCAAGAAGTTACAACATCAAGTATGCTAAGTCCTATGATGGGGGAATATTGGGTCCTGTGGGAGCCTAGATAAGCCACACTGGAGAAGTATCACAAAAGTCTTCCCAAGTCATTGAGACCTCAAGAATGAGAGAAAATTATTTTTTTAAAAGGGGGGGTGGGGGGAAATGCTCCAGGGAGTAAGAAATAGTACGTATGAAGCCCTGGAGGCGAGAGAGAGTGTGTGAGGGCCTAACTGGGGCTGAGTAACTGAAAGAAGTGTAGGTGGCTGGAGCGTGGATTACGAGTGGGGCAGAGGAGGGACGTGAGGCTAGCAGGTGAAGTCGTGAAGCCAGATGAAGGAGCGTGTATATCTTGAAGACTAGAAGGTCATGAAGGATTTTCAGCAGAATTGTTGATGTGATCAAATTTTTGGAACTGGCTGATTAGCAGAAGAGTGGAGACGATTGAAGAGGTCAAGACTGGACACCAGGTGGCCAGTTAGAAGGTCAATACAGTCATCTTGGTTAGAGGTTAGAAGGTCAGTGCAGTCATGTTGGTTAGAAGTGGTGGTGGCCTGACAGGAAAATAGCTTTGGGGATGGATGTAAGTGGATACAGTCAAGGGACATGTAGGAAGCAGGCTCTATAGAAACTGGTGACTGGGCATGAGGGTGGAGGGAGGAGTAAAAAATGGGGAAGAGTCCAGGCTAACTCCTGGGATTCTGGCTTAAATGTATAGTGGTGGTGCCATGTACCATGTACCATGTCAAGGAGGGGAAAATCACAGGCTTAGGGGTAAAGCTGAATTCAGTCTGGGGCATGATGACTTTTAGTCAATTGAATATTTGCATTTAAATCTCAAAACAGAGGTGCAGGCTAATGATTTGGAATGGTTAGTCTACAGATGGCAATTGAAACTCTTTAGAGGGAGAAGAAAAGAGGTCCTCATTTAGGGCACCGAGAAACCATGGCATATAAAGGATGGGCCCTGGAATAGGATCTTACAAAAAAGTCTGAGGAGCCACCAGAGAAATAGGGTAGAAACCAGGAGAATGTAGAAAATATCTGAAACCAAGGGAAAGATCTAAAGAAGCAGAAGCACGTATCAAGAAGTCTGGAGTGTGATGATTCCAGAGCTCTTTCAATGGCTCAACATTGTACCCAAGAAATTCAGATGTTTTCTATGATTTTCATGCTGAGCGGTTAGCATTGTTTTTGTCCTCAAATGTGTCACCTAATGACCACCTTATGGCTACTTCACCTCCAGGCATTACGTCCATGTTCAAGGAGGGAAGAGGGCAGAATAATACGAGCAAACTCTTCTCATCTTTTATCAGCTAGTGATAATTCTTCCCCAGAAGTCCTCAAGGACATCCCCTTACATCTTACTGGCTAGTATTGGGTCACGTGGTCTCTCTTCCAAAGGAGGCTGAGAGAGTGAGTATTTACTCTTCCAGTCTCTATATTAGGAGGCAGAAGGAAAGGGGCTGGAAATGGCCTTGTGATATTTCAACAATATCATCGGCTGTGGTGTTCCTTGGGTTTGGGGAATATGACATAACTGGCGGCCACGGTGAGCACTGTTCCAGTGGAATAGTGGAAGCCAGACTGCAGTGGGACAAGGAGTAGCGGGAAGTACGGCAGTGGAGGCATGGAGCTTTGGAGAGTTGTGAAGGATGAGTTACTGAGTTGTTAAGAAAGCCACAAAGGGGTTGCCCAGTGTCAGGAAGAGTCCGCCTGAAATTACATGGACGAATGTGAAAGTGGAGCCGCTGGGAGCATTTTCATGACTTTGCTTTCCACCTCCACCCATCTGTATGGAGAGGGGAGACTGGAGGATGACAAGGCAGGAGAGGGGAGACTGGAGGATGACAAGGCAGGAGCAGTGGAACGGTGGGAGAAGGGGATGTTCAGAACGTGTGTGTGATCTTGAGAGTGTAGTGGGTGAAAGGCTGATGGTGGGGCCAAGCTGGATGAGGAGGCAAACCACGCCACACAGGTGGTTGTAGGAATAGCCACAAGTTGAACAAGAAAGAGGTTGTATAAAGAAGTTTTGAGGGTAGCGACGGTGAAAAGGATAGGAGGTTATGATCAAGAGTCTGAAGTTAGGTTGTTAGGTCTTGGACAGTAGGACCATTCCTCATAACAAGGAGTTTATGGTAACTGTGGTAAGACAGAGGTGAACATCTCTTAGGAGTTAAGCAACTGTGAAGCCAGGCTACTGGCAGGGTTATCAGTTTAACCTACATTGAATATTCACTATAGCCGTTACTCCTCAAGTCTGAATGAGACAGTGATTGTTATCTACAAGAGTCATACAAGCAGGCTTTGCCATCTCTTTAAAGCCCGATATAGAGGGATAAACTTTACCTGAAAATTACAGATATTAGAGTCTTCATTCTCCCTTCTCATTTTTTTTTTTTGTTTGTTACCAAAACAATTCACATCCCATAATATCCTATCAATCTTTTGCTTGGTGATATAAAATTTTAGGCATTTCCAATTTAGGCTATAAATATTCTAGGTATAACTTGTTAGATACCGCTTTAAGATCCATCGATACTTTTCCCCTAAAATTAAAAATAAATTCCAGGCCGGGTGTGGTGGCTGATGCCTGTAATCCCAGCACTTTGGGAGGCCAAGTGGGGTGGATCACCTGAGGTCAGGAGTTTGAGACCAGCCTGGCCAACAAGGTGAAATCCCATCTCTACTAAAAATACAAAAATTAGCCGGGTGTGGTCGTGTGTGCCTGTAATCCCAGCAACTCAGGAGGCTGAAGCAGGAGAATCACTTGAACCCAGGAGGCGGAGGTTGCAGTGAGCTGAGATCACACCACTGCATTCCAGCCCAGGCAACAGAGTGAGACTCTGTCTCTAAATAAATAAATAAATACGTTCTACATTGAATACATTTTGTGGAGTAGCTGAAGAAGAGCTGCCTATTCTTAATTTTCAGAGTGGGCAGTAAACATGTCCCCTTAAAGGGAAATTGATTACCTGGAAGGTGTTTTCATTCTAAAAACCTTTTAAACAAAAGAGCCGGTGTCGGGGGCTGGGAGTGGGGGTTTCTATTGGAATTAGAGAAGTTCAGCTATGGAATTTAACAAGTTCCATGTGTTATTAGATATGGAATTTAACAAGTTCCATATGGAATTTAACAAGTAGGAAGTAAACAAGTTCAGAATTACGTTGAGAAGCAGAGAAGAAGCTGAATGCTGGCCCTCTGCTTTTGGGAGTTGGCCTGAAGAAGCAAGGGCATGGCATGGCAGTTGGTAGATGATGGACAGGGTGGTGTAATCTGCTAATGTAAACATGGAGAAGAAAGTCTGTGCTTAATTCAGCAGGCAAACCTTTTGAGCGGTCTAGAAATGCAGTCAAAACTGGCTAGGATGTGTTGGAGGGGGAATGGTTAGAAGTTGGGAGAACACTACACTGAACAAAATAAGAGGTTTCTTTGAATGTTTCCTTTGGGGAGTTTTAATTTAGATCACTGAAATCTTGTCTTTTCTGCAATTTTTTTTAAAAAAAGTTATTTACTTTATGATAGAGGATGGTAGAAAGATTCCCTCACTTAATTAAGTTAATAAATATCTATTAAGCCCTCTGCCCTTTAAGAACTTGAGAGGTAGTTCTATTTCTGAAGTTGATTTCCTGTGTCAGATGGGAACACCATGGTACCATCTCTTATTTGTTCATTGCCCTGGCATGGAGTGGATATTGACGAATTAATAAATGACAAAAGATGGCAAGGAACCTAAAAGGAAATGCCTTTTCTTAGCTATTCTAAGCAATTGGTTTACCTTTGGGATAATCATTTTGTAAGGAAACTTCTGTATTTGTTGTAAATAGATACATGCATTGCCTTAGGGAAGGGAAGTACTGCTGAGAAGTGGTAATTGCTGGAAAGAAGAAGAGATGAAGAGAGTACATCTGGATGGATGAAGAGAATACAGATTTTTTTTTTTTTTGAGACGGAGTTTTGCTCTTGTTGCTCAGGCTGGAGTGCAATGGCGCGATCTCGGCTCACTGCAACTTCTGCCTCCCAGGTTCAAGCGATTCTCCTGCCTCCGTCTCCCAAGTAGCTGGGATTATAGGCATGCGCCACCATGCCCAGCTCATTTTTGTATTTTTAGTAGAGACGGGGTTTCTCCATGTTGGTTAGACTGGTCTTGAACTCCTGGCCGCAGGTGATCCACCTGCCTCAGCTTCTGAAAGTGCTGCGATTACAGGTGTGAGCCACCGCACCCGGCCAGCTTTTTTTTTTTTTTTTTTTTTTGAGACGGAGTCTCGCTCTGTTGCCCAGGCTGGAGTGCAGTGGTGCGATCTCAGCTCACTGCAAGCTCTGCCTCCCGAGTTCACGCCATTCTCCTGCCTCAGCCTCCCAAGTAGCTGGGACTACAGGCGCCCGCCACCACGCCTGGCTAATTTTTTGTATTTTCAGTAGAGATGGGGTTTCACCCTGTTACCCAGGAGGGTCTCCATCTCCTGACCTCGTGATCCGCCCGCCTTGGCCTCCCAAAGTGCTGGGATTACAGGTGTGAGCCACCGTGCCCGGCCTCAGATTTTTTTTTTTTTAAGAGACAAAGTCTCCCTGTGTTGCCCAGGCTGGAGTGCAGTGGCTATTCACAGGCTCGGTTATAGCACACTACAGCCTCTAACTTTTGAGCTCAAGCAGTCCGCCTGCCTCAGCCTCCAGAGTAGCTGGGACTACAGGCGCACACCAGCATGCCAGTGAGAGTGCAGATTTTACAGGTAGAATGAAAGTTTCAGTTATCACTGAAGCTTGAAAAGTAACTTGAACGTATTTTTATTTGGCTTCTAAAAGATTGGATACTTTTAAAATTCTAGACCTGGAGTGGTGGCTCATGCCTGTAATCCCAGCACTTTGGGAGGCTGAGGTGGGCGGATTACCTGAGGTCAGGAATTCGAGACCAGCCTGGCCAACATGGCAAAACCGCATCTGTACTAAAAATACAAAAATTAGTCGAGCTTGGTGGCACACACCTGTCATCCCAGCTACTTGGGAGGCTGAGGTAGGAGAATCGCTTGAACCTGGGAGACAGAGGTAACAGTGAGCCGAGATCACGCCATTGCAGTCCAGCCTGGGTGACAGAGCGAGGCTCCATCTCAAAAATGAAATAAAATTCTGAAATTACGTTTCAAGAATCATAGCAGGCTGGGTGTGGTGGCTCATGCCTGTAATCCCAGCACTTTGAGAGGCCGAGGTGGGCAGATTGCTTGAGCCCAGGAGTTTGAGACTAGCATGAGCAACATGGTGAAACCCCATCTCTACAAAAAATACAAGAAGTTGCTGGGCGTGGTGGCATGTACCTATAGTCCCAGCTACCCAGGAGGCAGAGGTGGGAGGATCACCTGAGCCCAGGAGGTCAAGGCTACAGTGAGCCATGATCAGGCCACTGCACTCCAGTCTGGGTGACAGAATGAGACCATGTCTCAAAAAAAATAAAATAAATAAAAAGAATCATAGCAGATTATATGTGCAGTTTCACATGGATATGATCATTTTATTAATCAACTTTTCTTTCATAGCTGTATTTGAATTGGCTTCTGTTTTATTTTAAATTCATCATTGTGCTAGATTTACATTTTACATTTTAGCAAGACATTTTATAAATCTATGGCACTGAAAAGTATCTTTTAATAAGCTAGTAAACCCCCATTTCATCACGCTTCTTCATAAATATCTAGTACCTGAGTAACTGCAAATGAAATTCTGATTCACTAAGGATATTTTAGAAATAATAGCAGTGATGCCCTTGAGGTCATCTCAGTGATGTCCTTTATTTCGTCTTATAGTCAATCATAGATATTGGTAAACATGAAAACATCTAGTAGTTATTGAGTGCTGAACTAAGCAGTTTGCAAGATGCTTTTCTTATGCAGTAGTTTCTACTGTATGGCTAGCTAAGGAATTTGAGGCACAGACAGGTCATTAGGTGACTTGTCCAAAGTCATATGGTGAGTGACTGGGCAAGGATTTGAATCCAGGCAGTGCGGTTCCACAGCCTCTGTTCTTGGCTGTGATGTTGTGCTGCCAATTTTTACTCATTTCCTCACCTGTGTATTATACCCCCATAGAGCCTCTGGATCTTAAGGATTATTGTAATTAATAAAGACAACGCTAAGCTTCCCAAGGATCTTCTGGAACATCTCGATAGGAGATTATAATACTAAATGAAAGCAGCATGGCATATTTGGTTTTTCTTTTTCACAGCCCAGCCTTATAATTCCCATGCCTGAAGAAACATTTTTTAGAATATGAATCCTGTTTTTTTTAAATTTTTTTTTTTGAGACAGAGTCTCACTCTGCCACCCAGGCTGGAGTGCAGTGGCGCGATCTCGGCTCACTGCAAGCTCCACCTCCCGGGTTCACGCCCTTCTCCTGCCTCAGCCACCCAAGTAGCTGGGACTACAGGTGCCCGCCACCACGCCTGGCTAATTTTTTGTATTTTTAGTAGAGATGAGGTTTCACTGTGTTAGCGAGGATGGTCTCGATCTCCTGACCTCATGATCCACCCGCCTCCGCCTCCCAAAGTGCTGGGCTTACAGGTGTGAGCCACCGCGCCCGGCCATGAATCCTGTTTATTATCCCCTGTTTTGTATGGTGACTAAAAATCTGTTCATATAAAAACACATGTTCATATAAAAACAACAACTAACTGGTGTATATAGTGGAAATAGTTTTTACTCTTAAATACACTTTTGGTATATTTATCTCTAATAGAAACCAACATTGGGATGAAAGAGGGGAAGTAAAGAACAAAATTCAAGAAAGCCATTTCTCATCTGTCGCCCAGGCTGGAGTGCAGTGGCGCAATCTTGGCTCACTACAACCTCTGCCTCCTGGGTTCAAGTGATTCTCCTGCCTCAGCCTCCCAAGTAGCTGGGACTACAGGCGCCTGCCACCACGCCCAGCTAATTGTTTTGTATTTTTAGTAGAGACGGGGTTTCACCATGTTAGCCAGGATGGTCTTGAACTCCTGACCTTGTGATCCGCCCACCTCAACCTCCCAAAGTGCTGGGATTACAGGCGTGAGCCACCGTTCCCGGCCAAGAAAGCCATTTCTAACGTTTGTAGTTACTTCTGAATTTTTGCCAACTTAAATCATTTAAGTAGGGAGACATTTAACTTTATGGGCCTCTTAAGTTCTAAAAAGAGAGAATCTTGAAAAGGACCCTTTAAGAAAGGCACAATTAAACTGATTAGAGAAATGTTAAGAACTCACCCAGAAAAGAAGATTAATGGTAATTTTTTCACTTTTGATTAAAGCTGAATTTTGGATGTGACGTAGGCCTACCAAGTAGCCTTGAGGTATAGGAGGTGATTTCCTTATAAGGATGAGGACAGAGAAAGATAGCTCGCCCAAAGTGAACCAGTAGTGGAGTAAGAAAGCCAACAGTGTAATGTGTGTCTTTGAATCCTCAATCCCTGAACACTAAACTTTCCCTAATTTATTTTAGGATGAAGAGAAAGTTCTATTCTTGGGATGAATGCATGAACTTGAGAGAAGTTAAGGTAAAATCCTAAAGATGAAAAGAACCTGAGAAGGCCTTAACACTACCTGAGGACCGTAGTTAAGATGATTTTATTCTCTGTGGGAAGCATTCTGAAGATAATTTTGTTTGTTTTTCCTTTATATTCCTAAATTAATTTCTCATTTCTTCTGGTTCTGATGTCAGTGGAGAACAGCGTATAATTATATCCTCACATTTGAAAATTCACTTTCACTTTTAAAAGAGCATCTTAAAATCATATTATGCAAAGACAACTTTTTTTTTTTTTTTTTTGTGACAGAGTCTTACTCTGTCACCCAGGCTGGAGTGCAGTGGTGTGATCTCAGCTCACTGCAACCTCCACCTCCTGGGTTCAAGTGATTCTCCTGCTTCAGCTTCCCGAGTAGCTGGGACTACAGGTGTGTGTCACCATGCCCAGCTAATTTTTGTATTTTTAGTAGAGACAAGGTTTCACCATGTTGGCCAGGCTGGTCTGCAACTCCTGACCTCAGGTGATCTGCCCGCCTCAGCCTCCCAAAGTGCTGGGATAGCAGGCAAGAGCCACCACGCTCAGCCACCAAAGACAACTTTTTAAATTACTACATACCATTTCCTTAGATTTTATGCTTAAAGACTTGGATACAATTTTGGATACCTTTGCATGGTTAAGTCAGACAAAAGTTAGACCTATTTATAAACCAAGGGAAAAACGTAACAGATTGAAATGTTTAATAGCTATTGTTGGCTTGATTTATTGTTTGCACTTAACGTTCATTACTTAAAGCAATTATGTAGATATTAAAATGTAATTAATTAATGAACCCAGGAGAAATGGAAAATTACATAAGGTAATTATTACACTTAGCATTGATGCAATTTTGCCAAATTCTGTAAGTTTTTTTTAAGAAATTTTAAGGCATATTTGTTATTTTTCAGTCTCTGAAGAAACTTAATCATGCCAATGTTATTAAATTGAAAGAAGTTATCAGAGAAAATGACCATCTTTATTTTATATTTGAATATATGAAAGAAAACCTCTATCAATTAATGAAAGACAGGTATGTTTTTATTCATGTTTTTCCCTGTTATTCTCTCCATGAGTTCTTTGGATCCTTTTGATATGTCATACTTTATGAGAGAAAGATTGATTGCTCCAAAAGGTAAATTTAAATTAACCAGTTCTGTTACCTTTATCAAAGGGTAACATTTAACACTGAAGAACCAGCTGTGACATAGCCAGCATTTTTCTGTTGTAAATCCTTGAAAGTGAAGGCCAGTATCTCATATAAATACACATACTATCTATTTATGCTTTTTAAAATACAAATTTAT